>NC_000003.12:163857089-164008604 GCF_000001405.40 Homo sapiens
TTTTTTGATAGTTAAAGTGGGGCATAACTGTTTGTCCTCTATTTTTATGTTCAGTAACTCCCTGAACATTATAGGGGGTGTGTTGTTTAAATTTAGAAGGATCCCCAGGTATTACTGTAATTTGAACCCAAGTATTGATTGAATCTATGAAGGTTTGCCAATTGGTGTGTTTTAGCAGATATTAAAGTTAATCCATAAGCTATGTTGTAGAGGTGCAAAAGAAATTCAGTGCACATTTATGTTTCTGTTTCATAAATTCTTTAAGTAAATTTTGAATTTCCAGTTGGGTCAAATTGTAGACTTCCATTTCAGTATTATGATCCCTCCCTTGTATCCAGATTCCTTCCTTCCTTCCTTCATTCCATCATCCTTCCTGTCTTTCTGTCTTTTCTTTGTGTGTGTGTGTGTGTGTTTGTGTGTGTGTGTGTGATTACTGAATATGCTTTGGGGAGGTTCTCCCAGCAAAGACACTGGCAGCATTTTGGCTCTGACCTAAAGATCTGTGGAATGTTGAACTTGAGAGAGACTATCTGAAATTGGAATGGAACTTATGTTTAAAAGGGAAGCAGAGCCTAAGTTTGGAAAATTTGCAGCCTGATGATGTGATAGAAAAGAAAAACCCATTTTCTGGGGAGAAATTCAAGCTGACTGCAGAAATTTGCATAAATAAAGAGGAGCCAAATGTTAATCACCAAGAAAATGGGAAAAATGTCTCCAGGGCATGACAGAGATCTTTATGGCAGCCCCTCCTATCACAGGCCTGGAGGCCTAGGAGGGAAAAATTGCTTTGTGGGCCAGGTTCAGGCACCTCCTTGTCTGTGCACCCTCAGGACATGGTACCCTGCATCCCAGCCACTTCAGCTCCAGTGGTGGCTAAAAGGGGCCAAGGTACAGCTTAGGCCATTGCTTTGGAGGGTGCAAGTCCCTATCCTTGATGGCTTCCACTTCGTGTTGGGCCTACAGGTATACAGAAGTCAAAAATTGAGGTTTGGGAACCTCCACCTAGATTTCAGAGGATCTATGGAAATGCCTGGATGTACAAGCAGAAGTTGGCTGCAAGGGTGGAGCCCTCATGGAGAACCTCTGTTAGGGCAATGTGGAAGGAAAATGTGGGGTTGGAGCCCCCACACAGAGTCCCCACTAGGGCACTGCCTAGTGGAGCTGTGAGAAGAGTGCCACCATCCTCCAGACCCCAGAATGGTAGATCCACTGACAGCTTGCACAGTGTGCCTGGAGAAGCCACAGACACTCAACACCAGCCTGTGAAAGCAGCTGGGAGTGAGGCTGTACCCTGCAAAGCCACAGGGGCAGAGCTGCCCAAGACCATGGGAGCCCACCTCTTGCATCAGCATGCCCCGGATGTGAGACATGGAGTCAAAGGGATCATTTCAGAGCTTTAAGATTTAATGACTTCCCCACTGGATTTTGGTCTTGCATGGGGCCTGTATCCCCTTTGTTTTGGCCAATGTCTCCCATTTGGAATGGAAGCATTTATCCAATGACTGTATTTTTGAAGTAACTAACTTGCTTTTGTTTTTATAGGCTCCTAGGTAGAAGGGATTTACCTTGTCTCAGATGAGACTTTGGACTTGGACTTTTCAGTTAACGGTGAAATGAGTTAAGACTTTGGGGGACTGTTGGGAAGGCATGATTGGTTTTGAAATGTGAGGACATGAGATTTAGCAGGGGCCAGGGGTGGAATGTTATGGTTAGGCTTTGTGTCCCACCCAAATCTCATCTTGAATTGTAATCCCCATAATCCCCATGTATTGAGGGAGAGACTTGGAGGGAGGTGATTGGATCATGAGGGCAGTGTCCTTCATGCTGTTCTCTTGATAGTGAGTGAGTTATCATGAGATCTGATGGTTTTATAAGTATCTGACAGTTTCTCTATCACACACTCACTCTCTCTCACCTGCTGCCATGTAAGACATGCCTCTTCCCCTTCTGCCATGATTGCAGGTTTCCTGAGGCCTCCCTAGCCATGTGGAACTGTGAGTCAATTAAACCTCTTTTCTTTAAAAAAAAAAACCGAAAGCCACAAAGGATAAAAAATAATGTCTGAAATTATATCTAAAGTGGAGGATGTACAAGTCATTTTTATTGCAAAGAAACAAATTAGCCTTACCTTAGACTTCTACAGGCCAAATTATATCTGCACAATTTTGTGGCCTACTAAAGAACTACAAACTATCAGCAGATTGCTTTTAATTTGAACAATATTTGTAGGAGACAATAGATTAATGTCTTCAAAGTGATGAGGAAAAAATAAATGACAATGTATGATTATATGCCTGGCTAAATTATCATTCAAAAAAGAGAGAAATAGAGATGTCGAGGGAATATAACAATAATACAATTTGCTACTCACTACTTATAGAAACTAACTTTGCTACTTATAAATTCTCTCCGATAAAAAAAATTACTAACTTATGTAACTTTCAAGATGAATTTCCTAAGGGAAAGAGGTGGTTGCATGAAACAATGATGAAAACAAAAATATTGTTTTAAATTTAATTAAATATCAGCAGTACAGTTTTCCCTGGACCACCGCAGATTAAAAATCCACAGATGCTCAAGGCCCTTCTATAACATGGCATAGTATTTGAGTATGAACTACTCACATCCTTTCATATAATTGAAATCATCTCTAGATTATAATACCTAACACAACATAAATACTGTATAAATAGGTGTTATACTGTATTGTTCAGGGAATAATGACAAGAAAAAAGTCTGTACATATTCAGGACAGACTCAACCATCCATTTTTTTTCTCAAATATCTTTCATCTGCCATTGGTTGAATTCATGACATGATGTCCAGGAATATGGAGGACCAACTGCTACATAATATTTATTACCACTGATAATGCAAACTGCTATTTCTTACTAAAAATGTTAGAAGTAAAATTCTAAAATACATAAACAAAGAAGATGGAAAGCAATATTCAGTCTGGTTAGAGTGCACCCTAATTCAAAGAAAATATTGAATAATGAAAGAATTTGGGAAATTTTATAGACAGTACAAGTATGTAAGATTTTATGTAACCAGTAGGATAATAAATATGAAATCTATGTGTCCTCCACAACATCATCATAATAAAGAAAATAAAACCCATTTATGCCCAGTGTTCCACTATTGGAATGCTAAGCATGTGAGAGTTACTTATATCCTACTGCTCAAGGTCATCACCAGGGTCTGATTTTGCAATTCAAATAATTGCAAACTCAGTCATAAATGGGTTAAACAGTATGGAAGCACAAAGAAAAAACATTAAAAACCCTAATTATTCAAATATAAGGGCACTAAATTGTCCTTTTAAAATCAAGGAATGTCTGATAAGACACAAGAAAAAATAAAAGTATTTTCTTATAAATTTACAAGTCAGAGAATGTTTGAAACTAAAAGTCTTAAAAATTATATCAGATAATGATATTAGAATCATGTACCTCATAACAACATTTTGGTCAATGAGGAATCACATAGTTGATGGTGGTCCCATAAGCATGTAATCAGCTAAAAAAATGCCTATCGCCAGTATTTACTATACTATAATTATTATCATTATTTTACAGTGTACTATTTTTACTTAAATGTTAAAATGTTAACTGTAAAACAACCTCAGGCAGGTCCTTCAGATATTTCAGAAGGCATTGTTATCATAGGGGTTGATAGCTCCATTCCTGTTATTGCCCCTGAAGAACTTGTAGTGGGACAAGATATGGTGGTAGAAGATGGTGATATTGATGATACTTGACCCTGTGTAGGCCTAGGCTAATGTGTGTGTTTGTGTCTTAGTTTTCAGCAAGCTTGTGTGTTGATGTCTTAGTTTATAACAAACTTTAAAAAGTGAAAAATAAGTAAATAAAATTTTAAATAGAAAAGAGCTTATAGAATAAGGAAATACAAAAGGCAATATTTAGTAAACCTGTATAGCATGTTTGTATTTTTACCTAAGTCCTATTACAAAAGTCAGTAGTTTTTAACAAATTAAAAATTTATGAAGTAAAAAGTTAGGGTAAGTTAAGGTTAATTCATGATTAAAGAAAGAAATGTTCTAATAAATTTAGGATAGCCTAAGTGTGCCATGTTTGTAAAATCTAGAGTATCCTAGGACTTCATATTCACTCACCACTCACTCACTGTATCATCCAGAGCAACTTCCAGCCTTCCAAGCTCCATTCCTGGTAAATCCCCTGTAAAGGCATACCAATTTTATTTTTGATATCACATATTTACTGTACCTTTTTTATGTTTAAATATGTTTAGATTCACAAATACCATTGTTTTACAAATGCCTACACTATTGTGTACAGCAACATGCTATACTGATTTGTAGCCTAGGAGCAATAGGCTATACCACATAGCCTAGTTGTGTAATAGGTTATATCATCTAGTATTGTGTTAAGTACACTCTGAGATGCTAGCACAATGACAAAATTGCTTAATGGTGCATTTCTCAGCATGCATCACAATTGTTAAATGACATGTAACTGTAATTTGGAAGTTGTATCCATATTCATTTCAGACTGCTTAGAATTTTTAAACAAAAGCATGAATAGGAATAAATTTTTAAAGTAACAAGATAAAAATCTTAATTAACCAAAGTGATAAACCTCTTGAGAGGTACTTATTTTATAGCCTTACATTTATAAAGCCAAAAGTTACATAATTACAGGAAATTTCAAAGTTAGATCTGAGCTAACAGAGTCTGGTTCATGAGGTTTAACAAAAGAAGCCAACTCCATAACATAAAAGTGCAAGGTGAAGCAACAAGTGCTAACATAGAAGCTGTAACAAGTTATCCAGAAGCTCTAGCAAAGATAATTGATTAAAGTGGCTACACTAAACAGCACACTTTAATGCAGATGAAATAGCATTATATTGGAAACCTTTGCCATCTAAGATTTTCATAGCTAAAGAGGAGAAGTCAATGCCTGGATTCAAGGCTTCAAAGAAGAGTCTGACTCTCTCATGTCAGGGGCCAATGGAGCTGAAGACTTTAGGCTTAAGTCAATGCTCACTCACCATTCTGAAAATCCTTGGGCCCTAAAGAATCATGTGAAATCTACTCTGTTTGTGCTCCATAAATGGAACCACAAAGCCTGGATGACAGAACATCTGTTCACAGCAAGTTTTACTGAATAATGTAAACCCACTGTTGAGACTTACTGCTCAGAAGAAAAAAAAAAAGATTATTATCAAAATATTACTGCTCATTGACAATTCTCCTAGACACGTAAGAGCTCCAACAGAGATGTACTGTACACCTAAGAGCTCTACTGTACAAGGAGATTGATGCTGTTTTCATGCCTGCTAACACAACATTCATTCAGTAGCACGTGATTAAGGAGTATATTCAATACAACTTCAAGTTTTATTATTTAAGATGTACATTTCATAAGGCTATAGCTATTATAAATACTATATTCCTCTGATGGACCTGGGAAAAGTACATTTAAAATCTTCTGGAAAGGGTTTAGTATTCTAGATGTTACTAAACATTTGTGATTCATGGGAGGTGGTCAAAATATCAACCTTAACAGGAGTTAGGAAGAAGTTGATTATCACTCTCATGGGTGACTACGAGGGCCTCAAGCCTTCAGGAGAGACAGTAATTGCAGAGGTGATAAAAATAGCAAGAGAACTCAAATTAGAAGTAGAGCCTGAAGATGTTACTGACTGGCTGCACTCTCATGATGAAATTTTAACAGATGAGGAGTTCCTTTTATAGATGAACAAATAAAGTGGTCACTTGAGTGGAATCTACTCCTGGTAAAGATGTTGTGAACATTGCTGAAATGACAACAAAAGATTTAGAGTATTCCATAAACATAATTGATAAACAGCTGCTGGGTTAGAGAGGACTGATTCTAATTTTGAAAGAAGTTCTACTCTGAGTAAAATGCTATCGAACAGCATCACATGCCACAAAAGAAAAATTGTTTTGTAAGAGGAAAAGTCAGTTGATATAGCAAACTTGATTGCTGTCTTATTCTTAAGAAACTTCCCTAGCCACCTCAGTGATCAGTAGCCATCAATGTGTAAGCAACTCTCCAACAGCAAGAAGATTATGGCTCACTAAAGGCTGAGATGATTATTAGTAATTTTAATTAATAAAATATTTTTAGTTAAAATAGGTGCATTGCATTGTTAGACATAATGCTATTGCACACTTAATAGACCACAGTTGTATAAACATAACTTCCACATGCACTGAGAAACCAAAATATTTGTGTGACTCACTTTGTTGCAACATTTGCTTTACTGTGGTGGTCTGAAACTGACCTAGCAATGTCTCCAAGGTATGCCTATATAGAACAATATTTATATTTCAGTATTGCTTGTATTGTCCTCAGTCAAGTTGTCATCACTGCCATCCTTTCTAAGATTTCCTTTACATCCCAGAGAGGAAAACAGAAACTTTCAATTCCCAGAATATATTTCTACAGTTTCTCTAGCTCCTAGGTAGAGCCTGCTAATAAAAGGCCATTATAGTCCTGAGCATTTTCAGAAAGAGAGCAGATGGAATATGCGCTAGGTAAACTTCCTGAGCATTACTTGATTCTGTTTTACAGGATGAGTCCTTCTGTGAAACCTTCTCTTCCCTTCTCTTCAAAAGCACTTCCAGCACATGTTTCTAATCCCTGCCTTTAAACACTATATACATTCAGTGCATTGTGTGGATTCTGCTTTCTTGAGAAAAGACTAGTGAAAAACTAGTGAAAATCAGAAAAGTGAGAAAATCAGAAAAAATAAGAAAAACATCAAATTATACTATTTTAACACATCATCCATTTTGAGTTTTTGTCTTCCACTTTCTTATTAGTCCATATATCATTTTACACAGGTGTAACCATCGTTTTAAATATAGATATTCTATTGATATCTTCATTTGTATGTAATACTGATACCGACAGGAGATAGGGTAATACTGGGTAGAAGAGGGCTGTTTCCTGGCAAAGTCCCCATCCTCAAGTCTGAAGACCTGCGGCCCTAAGTGAGAACAGCATTTTTGGCTGTGCACCCAAAAAGTTGCCTTTTGGCCTGCCAGGCCCCCCATCCTGCTCCTATATAAACCGAAGACCTTAGCGGGCACATACACAAGCGGCTGAACACCAAGAGGAACAGAAGAGAGCAGCGGTGGAGAGAGGTGCGGAGGCACTGCAGAGAAAGAGGGAAGAGGCTTCTGAACATTGGCCAAGAACAGCCAGACCTCAGGGGAAGATGACCTTCCCTCTCTGTCCCCTCATCCTCCTGGATCCCCATGCATCTCACTGAGACACCTCCACCACTCAATAAAAACTTGCACTCATCCCAAGAGCCCATGTGTGACTCGATTCACCCCTAGATGCTGCCGTGGGGCAGCCGGAGCCCAAAAGTGCTCCCCAGGGCCTCTGCACCTGCCTCTCTGCATTCTCCCCCTACGGGATTGAGCAGCAGGTAGACCAAAGGAGCAAGCCACACCCCTGTTGCAAGTCCTTCAAGGAGGATAAGGGA
Organism: Homo sapiens; assembly: GCF_000001405.40. NCBI lineage: Eukaryota > Metazoa > Chordata > Mammalia > Primates > Hominidae > Homo > Homo sapiens. The sequence continues at coordinate 163,864,593 of NC_000003.12, forward strand.
ACTTTCCCGTTTCAACATCACATCTTAATAATTTTCATCAGTTAACATTATTTGTATTTATTTTTATTAAGGCACAATAACCGATTGTATCAGATTATCTTCACTCTAAAGCTGAGATTTAAAATTATTTGCTTAAAATATAGGAGTAAGAGGCTTTATATTTGAAATTTTGTCTAATTCTCCATGGATTTTGAGATGGTGCCATCACAATACAACATAGACAGCATGTAGGATATGTCCTACTCTAGTTCCAATCAATATCCTAGTGAATTTGAAGAGTAAAGTTTAAATAATCTTTGTGTGTGTTTGGTTAGAGCTATACATAGTATTTGCTACTTGTTTTCAGTTTACCCACCAATATTAGGAAAATAAGCTTTAAAATTAAAATTAAGAAGGATATTAAGACACAAAAAAGAATAAGAAGAATTGATTCCATTTACTCTCTTGTGTCATGGTCATGAAAAAATTTTAGGTAGGAAAATATCCTTATTTTCACATTTCTTGATGAAGCCTCTTATATAATTGAGAGGATGACAATTGAATGAAATCAGCCGAAGTTGATTTCTGTTTAAATCTCTAGAATTTAAGTTAAATCTTAAAGATAATTTAGTTGTTATCTTTTGTCCAATTGCTTTAGATTTTGTTTAACTCCAAAATGTATATTGTGAAAATTCAACTTCCTTTGAATTTGCAGTGCACTTGACGGGCCCATGAATCAGGTGAATTTTAAGTATTTTAATTCAGTTTCCGAGGTCTTAAGAAATCGATCTTTTCATGCCGTGAATAGTACCTAAGCATTTACATAGTTGATTATTTTTAATATTTGAATATTAAATATTTTCTAGATGAGGGAGGGGAAACACAAATTAGAATGCTCTATGTTCTGTCTTCTGCCTCTCCTATAATTAACTCAAAGAGAAAGGGGAAAAAGAAAGAGATATTAAAAGACAGAAAAAGAGAGAGTATCTGACCATGGTTTTAGTTATGCTTATTCTGAAATGTTCTGGTGAATGCATTTGAAATAAATCAGCTTTGTCCTTGACATAATGCTGTATTTTTGTCCAGGGGTTATTCTGCCTTTCTCCTAAATGTCCTGCTGCCATATCATGTCCTAATTTTATGGTATGAATAAAACCTTCTCTCTGGGGGTATAATAAGTCAATAATTTTCTATTAAGTTTATTTACAAAAAGCTTTATTTTGTCTACACTATTGGAAATGGTCTGGAGACTATCTACTCATGATCTCCCTGGGTAGGGAGACCTCTTTGTAGTTTTGCTAAAAATCTTTCTTCTGGCAATGAGTCATGTCTTGACAAGTTGTCTAATGTCTTATCCAAGAGTCCTCTAGTCTTACATGCCCTGCTCCTTTATATAATGTTGGATTGGCATCTTTTTTTCCAAACAAGTGAATAATTTGTTAATGTATTTGTTATGACTTAAGTCCTTGTAAGTCACGAATAATAAAGGTATGCCTTTTTTGTAAGTATTTTCAAAATATCGATTTTTAAACAACCTGTTTACTTTTTGTAAGTGATAATAGTGGTGCCCAACTTATTTCACTAAAGATTTTGTCGATCGATTTACATTAATAAGCTGTAGATTTCAGTATGATGTAATATTATAGGTAATATTAGATTTAAAGGATTATTATTCCTGACAGAGTTTTAGAAAGTTTCCTGGCATATCCTGATATACATTATTACCTAAGTATTTGCATCCTGATATACATTATTACCTAAGTATTCACATCCTGATATACATTATTACCTAAGCATTCACATAATTTACTTTTCATTTGAATATTACATATCCCTTCAAAATTCATGCATTTCTATATAACTTTGCTGAGAAAATATCAAGGACTTTAACCAGGTCTAAACACTTATAAGTTGATAGTACAAAGCTAGCTTGGATGTCAGGGGTGCTTTTCTGTTTCTTGCATGTAATAGGCACAAACTAGGCCCAGTAACCTTTTTTGTGCCCTCCATCATTGTTGTTTTTTCTTTCCTCCCCAGAATGAAACCATTATCTACTTCTAGTACTTAAAAGTAGTTTTTCCTCTTTTAAACAAACTACAAATGAATAAAAATTATGCTCATTCCTGTGTTTCATTACTTTTGCCAGTATTATGCTCATGAGACTTAGAATTGTTTTGAGGTGGAGCAGAAGTTTATTCATTTGCATTGTAGACTAGTACTGTTTCACTATATGAATATAGCCAATATATTTATTCATTTTATTGTTAACTAGTAGTGACGGTTTCCAATGTCTATTATTTATGAATAATGCTGCTCTGAATATCTTGTCCGTACATTTTGAAGTTCCTTTCTGTTTGAAATATACATAGAAGTAAAATTGTTGAATTTGGATGTATATATGTTTAGTGCTATAAGATATTGCCAAACAATATCTAATGTGCATAAAAATTTTAATTCTTAGAGGACTTAGAAAAACTGATGTCTCAATATATTTCACTGAGGTTCTATTTTTGGATTACTGGGATCATAATCTAAGCTTGAGCAGTTTAGGGCTAAAAATCTGCCACCCTTATATATGGGTTAAAAAATAGAAAGACTTAATGTTAAAAAAAGGAAGAGAATTGCACAAATATGAAAAGTAAAACATGAAGCCGCCTTTTACTCTTTATTCTCTGTCCTCCATACTTTACCCTTTGCCATTTTGTTACAGTTATTCTGATCTCCATTTCTACTTTTAAAATGTTATCATGAAATAATGTGAAAAAGTAATTCCAATAAGTTGTGATTTACTGATAAATCTTAACAATTATCAGTAGTATTTTAATACATCAAGGAGCCATTATAGCTGCTTAAGGTTTTAGCCAACATCATAAAAATAGGTGTTAAATTCTTTATACTAACATAAAGTTTGAAGAGGCGTTTTGAGAACACGAGGCCGTTTTATGGCTGCTTTTCACTGTAGAGAGTAGGTTTTACATTTCCCAGTGTAAACCCAGTACAATAATTATTTTTAAGGAAATGATATAATTTCCTTAATGTGAAAGCCTCTGGACTTTGAAAATAATGTCTGAGGAATAAAAATAATATCTGAGGAATATAAATCAATCCTAGGATTGTTTAGCTTAAAAACAATGAACTAAATTAGTAGTCATCTAAGAGATTGTAGTTATTTCAAATTAGAATTAGCTTTTAGCAGGGCAGTAGGATCAGGAGTTGTGTTCCTGTAGACTCTGTGCCCTATTCTTCCTTCTGCAAAGCCCTGTTAAAGTGATAGAGTCTGTAGTCCACAGTGTGAGAAGTACTGTTTTAAAGAAATATATTACAATGGGTCTATATTTTGCTGTAGTGCTTATCATGATCACTAGCTACCAGGTTTAAAATTTGTAGGAGGCTTTTCTGTCTTGAGGCACTTATTTAAAGTAACATTTTTTTTTATTGCTGCTCACTTATATAACTTTACGAAAATTTCAAAATATTTAACATTCATGTAGCCTACCAGGAATTGATAGAAAGGTTATCAATCATGACAATTCCCAATTATCATTTATCAAGTGCAACAACACGCATTGAACACATCTGTTTTGTGATATATTAAAGGAATTATCATATACATTATTAGGTTCCCTTATCAAATGTGAACTTTACTACACACTGAATATCATTTCCAAGAAAGATGGTCTTTTTAGTATGTATAAGCTTGAGAAAAGGCATCAAAATAGATGAATTCTTAATCTATGTATGTCTGAATTTTATGTCCCATTAAGATATAAATTACTTTGAGCCAGCATATTGTGCAGACCTATGTTATAGAAAGAGAAATGTTTGCAGTATGCAGAAAGTATATACAAAGGTAAAAGTCTAAATCAACATTTCCTGTCCTCAATATGATTTACACTAAAAATTTTGTGAATAATATCATGATATACAAATGTGATAATCCAAGAAAAAAATTGAAATGAAATGTTCTCTAGTTTAGTAGTTATTGACTATTGATAATCAGCATAAATATTCCATAGGATTTAAAATCAGCAGATGTGATTTTAGTATAATCCAACCCTATGGGCCCTATTTTCCACCTTTAGACCTTCATGACCTTAATTATTCTTCCACTACACTTCAAGTCCCTCAATGCCTCCTTAAATATGTTATATATTTTTCCCCACATAGCATATTTTTTACTAACATTGATTAAGTTTGATATATACTAGTTATTTCAAGACAGACAAGAATAAAAGGGCATGCTCTTGTCATAGGGTTACCAAATTCAGCAGATAAATATTCAAAATCAATAGTTACAACAGAATGTTGGATAAAAATATTTATTTTAGATCTGGGGAATATTTCTACAAAAAATATTTATTGTTTACCTAAAATTCAAATTTACCTAGATATTTTGCATTTTACACAGCATTCTTATTCTGTTCTCAGGATGATCACCATTTGATTAGGAAGACAGAAACACACAAAAACAACCATAACAAAATACACTAATTACCATGGTCACACTCTGGAAAATAGTCATGTGTTAAATCTTGAATGTTAACTGTTCTTCAAACGTGTTGATGAAACGTGATGATGACTGGCAACTCTGTGGTAATCCCTCTGTTGGGAGCTTGGAAACAAAGAAAAATGTGATTGAGTTTTCCAATGTCACGAGTTAATGAATAATTAAAAAAAAGAGTAGAAATACAGGTGAAGTGTTTAAGGAGGAGATCAATCAGACAGAATGATGTTTTAGAGATTTCAACACATAGCAGGAAGTAAAACACAAAAGTAATTCATCCAAAAGAAGTATAGAATACAAAATGTGAATACTTGCACAGAAAACATAAACCAGCCTGCAGTGACCTAACAGAAAGAAAGCCAGAAGAATAAATATCTCAATCTCACTTGCCCTTCCTCCCAATTTCTCCTGGAGCTCTGCTCTGGCTAGATCCAAGAAGAGAAGAAACAAGGGATCCCTGCCATGTAGACCACACAGCTCAAGTTCCCATTTGTATCAGAAGAACTTTACAATGTATCTACAGGTAAGAGAAAGGGAATTGAAAACAACAACAACAAAAGCAACTACAACAAGGAAGACTCATAGAGGAAGTGACGAAAAAGATGCCACAGAAACAGAAGTTCTGCATGCGAGAGGCAAGAGGTAACTTAAAGCAGAGATTTAAAAACAAAGCAAAAAAAAAAAAAACCCTACACATATTCTATGCTCAAAACTTAATCTTCTTTCTTTTTCTGTCAACCCTTCATCTTTTTTCTTTATTTTTCAGGACTTGCTGAGCTGTTGAATTAACACAAAAATAATACATCAATACAATAGCTCAGTAAAGTCAATAAAGACTTGATGTTTATCCCTATCTAGGATAAATAGTTATAAACACTAACATAAGTTTTCTAGAGGCAATTTGTTTTCTAGTATTTTCTAATACATCATTTGTTAAAACAAAAATTCCTAATATGAGCTGGATACTGTATTCGGCCCTGGAATACAAGAGTGAGGTTGATGAACTCAAAGGCCACTCTCTAGGCCTTCCTTTGCTTTGTTTAATTTTTAGAATTTTTGCTATCTGAAAATATATTATTGATTTAATTGTTAATATGTCTTCACTCTTAGAATAGAAACTTTATGAAAGTAACAATTTTATTTTTTAAAATTATTGTCATATTCTCAAGTCTAGAACACTACCTTGTTTAGTATAGGGACTTAATAAAGATTTTTTAATTAAATAAATAAATGACAAAATAAGCCCTTGTTATGTACAGGCTAATGGAGCTTTTTAGAGAATCTAATGTGGTATGCCACAAAATGATGTGGTAAATGCCATGACACAGAAAATGCAGACAGCTTTGCTTCACACAGTAGTTCTTCCTGTTTTAAACACAGAGAGGTAACAGCCTTTTTGGAAGAATTATAATCCCATAGAAATGAATCCATATTTGATTCTCATAAACTAAAACACTCAGTGAGAGATATGGTTGGAAGGAGAGAGAAACTGTCACTTTTCAAATCATATGAGAGGCATCAGTGGGACCAGTAGGGTTAAATTTATTACCATGCACAATATCGATTGGATTATCAAGTATATGCTACACATAATATAGTTAGAAACTATAAATATATATATATATTTAATCAAGATTTATTATATTTTTGGAATAATCTAATTGGTCTTACATATTTTATATTGACGTTTCCTTTTTTGTTATTTTGCTGAACAAATTCATATGTAAAAATTTTAACACAGTAGATCTAAAGCATACTGTCCCAATTCTTGCTAGACAAGCTACATATATAAGTAATGATATAGGTTAATATGACTCCTCAGACACTGAAATTAATTTGAAAATAAGACGTAACCATTGTTTTCAATTTACTTCCACCCCAATTTTTTTAACAATTAGATATTAAAAGGATCCTGCTTCTTACAAATATCCAATACCCACTATGACAAGAAAGAGAATTATCTCATTTGTATCATCACTCTGTAGATCCAATTGATAAATAAATGGGTCATTTAATGGAGGAAGAACAATAAATACAATAAATGTAGTAAAAATACTAAAATTAACTTCTAAAAATTTAGTGTTGTGCAAACCTGTAGAATAAAATGTAGGTGAATATCTTTTTAATCTTGAGGTAAAAAGAGTTTTTATTCTGTGTACAGAAAACCCTAACTTTAAGAGGAAAATGCAGCATTAAATTAAGTATTTACACTTATCCAGAAATACCTTAATAAAAATAAAATGTGAGCTATATTCTGGAAAAAGATTGTTGCAATACTTTTAATCAGCAAAAAGTTTAGTTTCCAGAATTAGAAGAAAATAGTTTCTAAACATCAAGAAAGGTATAAGATATAAAAAAATAGAAAAATGCACAACCGATTTAAATAGGCATTTCATTAAAGAGAGATAGAAAAATGAAAAAAGAAACAAATATAGTACTTGACAAAAATTCTCCGAGAAACACGTGTGTCTATCTTTTGAAATTCAGCAGTTATGTACCACATTTAATAATGTCATTCTGAACATAAACTCTAGATTTTTTTTATGCATATTCCCTAAATAACTTGTACACAGGTGTTTTTAAAATTTGACAATAGTGCTCCAAGTAGAAACAAAAAAGTACATGCAACAAAATGGAAAAATCTTTGTAAATAAAAATTAGTGAAAAAAGTCAACTGTCAATAGAGTATGATATCATTTGTAAAATCATCAAAATCAAGCAAAGGAAAACCATATATTGTTTATACATATATAGCATATATGTGATAAAGCTGTTCAAAATTCAGATAAGGATGAACTTTGGATGGAGAGAGCATAGAAGGCACAGATTTTTAGACAGATGTTATTTTTTTGATGATGTTCTACTTCTTATGCTGAGTCCTGGGTTCACAGGTATTCATTTCATATTCTATAATTATAATAAAGGTAGCATCTATGCTTTTGTTTGTATCAAACTTCCCATGCTATTTTAAGATCACATTTTGTTAGTCAAGGTCCCAGAAGAAAGGATTGACACAGTTAATACAATTTTGGAGACAGTTTAATAAAAGTAATATCTACAAGATTTGGGTAATTTGAAAACCCTAAGCTCACAATGCAGTTCCTAAAGTTAGTAATATTCTGGAACCATTCCTAGACCTAAAGGTGTGAAGAGGGCAAGTAACAATCACATCTATGGAACAGGGAAAACTATGAGGATATGAAGGTTTATGTGAAGAGTAGTATTTGACAGAAGGTGAAAACGTGCATGGAAAATATAAACCAGCCTTCAGTTATCTCACAGGAAGAAAGCCAGAAGAATAAATATTTCAATCTCACTTGTCCTTCCTCCCAATTTCTCCTGGAGCTCTGCACTAGCTAGATCCAAGAAGAGAAGAAACAAGGGATCCTTGCCATGTAGGCCACACAGCTCAAGCTCCCAGAAAAGAGAACAAGGTGAAGTGTGGAGTACATCCTTGCAGGAGCGAGTGGAATATTTCCAGCATGTCTGGCAATTTCATATAGTCAAAGCTCGCTGAATAACTATTGATATTCAAAACTTCCTTTTCAAAACTCATTTTGCCTCTTCAGAATGTAATGTGTTTTGCAAAAGTTGCCATAATTCAACAGAATATAGAATTATAGCCAATGTGGAAAGTGTTTAGGAATATAAGCTAAGACTTGGAAGAGTTCCTGATTTCTAGATCTTTAATTTTTGTCTATTAAGTTTCTATGTCTTTCCCTAAATTAAGAGGTGGCTCTAAGCAAGAATGAAAATGAACTAACTATAGATTAAAACTGTCCTATTTAATTAAAAAGAAAGTCACTTTTTCTAAAATAGAAAAACTTTATTGGTTTTTATAAGGTAAATTTAAATTAGTCTTGCCCCATGGCAGTCTAGAAAAATTAGATGTCTCATTTATCTTCATAAAGACCGAACACTTTCAACAGAGCAACCATTATTTGCACAGAAAATAAAGCTATTATTTTATAACTATGCTCCAGTAGTTGCCAAACATCTTTAAAGTGACCTTACAATTAAATTGTTATCTTTTTTATGAACTTTCACAATACACCCTTTGATGTGAGCGTTGGACTGTTTCTTAGACGTGTTATTTCTATTTCCTTACAATCTGCTTAGTAAAGAAGAGCACATAGGGTTAAATGAGGAAAATACAGTTGTGAGAATTCAAAATTTGTTCTTTTAGTGTGATTCTGCCTTTATGCAGCTTGTTTGACTTACCTGGTGCTCACGTCATCTTTAAAAGGAGGAATTTGGACTAAGATTCCTTTGAATCCTAGGTTGCTAAACTGTTCTAACAACCATACTGGTTTAAGTGTTTAACAGGACTCAGACTGACCTTGGCCCTATTTTCTTTTATTTTCTTCTTCTTTTTTTAAAACTAAATATTGCTTTAAATTCTTTCAGTCAACATTTTTTTAGAACCACAAACTAAGCAACTATAAATTATATTTAGTTATTTACAGAATGCAGGTTACGCCATTATTAGGAATACATGCATTTGTGAGTCACTCATATTTGCTATCAAATTGCTAATATGATATATATATAAATAGTATGATTTATATCTCCTGTGCATTTGTTACATGTGTGTATGTTCAGTAAAATGTAAAAATTTATTTAAAAATATCAATTTATTGTGTTCATAAATTGAAAGACTCAAATAGTACATATATATTAGAGTAACAGGAGAACTGCTGACAATTCCATGTGCTGACAAGAATGTAGAGCAACAGAAACTCTCATGCATTACTGCTGAAAATGCAAAATGTTATAGCCACTCTGGAAAATAGTTTGGTATTTCTTATAAATTAAAACATAAATGCACCAAATGATGCAGCAATTTTACTTGTAGATATTTACTCTAAAGAAACGAAACCTTATATTCTCAAAGAAAATGTGGCACATATACACCATGGAATATTATGCAGCCATAAAAAGAATGAGTTCTTGTCCTTTGCAGGGACATGGATGAAGCTGGAAACCATCATCCTCAGCAAACTAACACAGGAACAGAAAACCAAACACCGCATGTTCTCACTCATAAGTGGGAGTTAAACAGTGAGAACACATGGACACAGGGAGGGGAACATCGAGGGGTGGGGGATAAGGGGAGGCAGAGCAGTAAGACAAATACCTAATACATGTGGGGTTTAAAACCTAGATGACTGGTTGATAGGTGCAGCAAACCACCATGGCACATGTGTACCTATGTAAAAAACATGCACGTTCTGCACATGTATTTCAGAACTTAAAAAAAAAGAAAGAAAAAACAAAGAAAGCATTTATATGGTGACTTTCTTCATAATTGCTCAAAACAGGAAACAAAACAAATGTCCTTTAATGGAAAAACAAATGGTGAAGCATCTGTATAATGAAATTCAATACAGCTAAAATTAACTGAAAAGTTGGATGACTCTCCAAAGCTGTATAATGAGCAAAGCAAGCCAGTCTAAAAAGGTCATATACATTGTGATTTCATTTTTATGACATTTTCCAAACGACAAAGCTGTAGTGATGGAGAATTCATTATTGGTTGCCAGTAAGAGGAAGATGTGGATGCAAGGGATAGCAAGAGTGAGTTATTTTGGATGAAGGAACAGTTTTGCATTATGATTGTAATAGTGGTTTACTAAATCACTCCCTTCATGAGGGGTGGGGATTCCTAAGTCACTCCCCTCCATGAGGGGCGGGGTTCTCATAGAAAATCTCTGATAGGGCAGTGCAGAAGGGAAACGTGGGGTCTGAGCCCCCACACAAAGTCTCTACTAGGGCACTGCATAGTAGGGCTATGAGAAGAGGGCCACCGTCCTACAGACCCCAGAATGGTAGATCCAGTGACAGCTTGCACGGTGTGCCTGGAAAAGCTGCAGACACTCAACACCACCCCGTGAAAGCAGCCGGGAGAGAGGCTGTACCCTGCAAAGCCACAGGGGTGGAGCTGCCCAAAATACTGGAACCCACGTCTTACATCAGCGTGACCTGGATGTGAGACCTGGAATCAAAGGAGATCATTTTAGAGCTTTAAGATTTGACTGTCTCAATGGATTTTGGACTTGTGAGGACTGTAACCCCTTTGTTTTGGCCAATTTCTCCCATTTGGAATGGCTGTATTTACCCAATGCCTGGACCCCCACTGTATCTAGGAAATAACTAACCTGCTTTTGATTTTACAGACACATAGGTGGAAGGGACTTGGCTTGTCTCAGATGAGACTTTGGATTGTGGACTTTTGAGTTAATGCTGAATTAAGACTTTGGGGGACTGTGGGGAAAGCATAAGGTTTTGAAATGTGAGGATGTGAGGTTTGGGAGGGGCCAGGGACAGAATGATATCATTTGGCTGTGTCCCCACCCCAATCTCATCTTGAATTACCACATGTTGTGGGAGGGACCAAATGGGATGTAATTTAATCATGGGGACAAGTCTCTCCCATTCTGTTCTCATGACAGTGAATAAGTCTCACAAGATCTGATGGTTTTAAAAAGAGGAAATCACCTGCACAAGCTCCTCTCTTTGCCTGCCTCCATCCACATAAGGTGTGACTTGCTTCTCCTTGCCTTCTGCCATTATTGTGAAGCTTCCCCAGCCACGTGGAACTGTAAGTCCAATAAACCTCTTTTTTTTGTCAATTGCCCAGTCTCAGGTATGTCATTATCAGGAGGGTGACAACGAACTAATACAGACCTGCTATATTTTTACATTAGTTAAAAAAATAATATAATTGTAAACTTTATGTATTTTATACTTGGCAATTGTACTTATAATTGAATCTACTTACTGGTTATCATTGGCCAATCAATTGATTGTTAAGTAGCACTCAGTTTAAGTAATGCTTTAAAAAAATCTTATTTCACTTTTTATGTAAAGAGATAATTTTTGAGAAGGTTACTATGTTTAAACTGCATTTGCATAGAATGCATTTACTTTGTATTGTCTATTTGATTATTTTATTTTAAAATCATTTTTATTTTAATTGACAATTAAAAATTGCACATATTTATCACATACATATTGTTTTAAAAAACCTATACATTGTGAAACGGCTTAATTGAGGTAATTAACAGATAGATATGGGATAACTTTTAAATTGTTGTCGAACAGAAAACAACCTAGTTTAAAGGAACACATTTAAAACATTTGGCAAATATAAAAACTTTTATTAATAAATTTACTTATATTTTTAAACATTTTACTTTGCTTTTAAAAATATGAAAATAATTTATAAAAATATTATTGAATTACACAATTTAAATTTTGCATTTAGATTTTTAAAATATACTGGTTAAATATAAATGAAAAACAGTTTATCTTTCATTGAAATTTTATAACAAGGGACTTTAGAGAGGACAAAATACACAAAGATTTCTAATGTTACAGTGTTTTGAAAAGGAAATCATGATCATAATATATAGTGTATTTCTCTCTCTAGAAACAACAATAAAACTTTTTTCTAAATTACTTAGAGACAAATTAGATGTTCAGATTAAATATCCCACCTTTCCAATGAAAGTGGCAAAATATTAATTGTTAAATATTCCAGGAATTTTTCCAAGCTGTTCTAATTATATTGTAGATATTGCAAACAAGAAAATGTTGGATTATGAAAGAACTTTTACTTGTTCTGAAGAAAAGTGTGTTTCTTAAAATACACTTGGTGCAATTTCAAATTTTATTTTCTAAAGATAAAATTGCAGACAAGATTTTGTTACATAATGGCCACCACCAGCATCTAATTAGCATTAAGTTTTCTTTAATTACAGTTTCCCTCATATAGACCCCAATATCAAATAGCAATGTTTTCCTTGCTTGCATAGTAACTTGAAAGCTCCTAAATGGTAAGTAGTAAGGTTATAGCATATTGAGAATACTTTATAACACAATGGTTGATTTATAGCATAGGAATAATTACCCTTGTTTTTAAGTCATATGTAAGTTTTATTCTTTTAACTATGAATAGTTTCTATGTATTTTTCTTGTTTTTTTTCTTATAATCTCACTCTAATTTTAGCTCTTCTATCTCTTCTTCAACTAATCTGTCTCATAGGTAGTATCATATAACTTTTGAACACATTATTATGATAGAAAAGACATGTATGTTGACTCCAACTTTAATTTTCAATTTTATCTTGGTCTTCTACTTGAGGAATCCCTAGATCCAAAATATTGTGCTCATTATTAATGACTTTCTCTTTCTTGTTCACTTTCAAAAGTGTTTATGATTTTATACCTAGTTTTATTTTCTTAATGCTTCTTTCATCTCTGCCTTCCTCTTTTCAGTTGGTACTTTTGTTTTTGTTTTTGTTTTGAGACAGAGTGTTACTCTGTCATCCAGGCTGGAGTGTCTGCCTTCCTTTCTGTTTTCACAGCCACACTCCTAAATTAGAGTTTTACTGTCTATTTTCTGCTTCTTCACTATCTCTCTTTTTCTCTCTCCCTCTCCCTCTCCTCCTCTTTTTTCATCTCTCCAAACTGAGTAAAATCTAATTATAAACACTTTTGCTAAATTATATATTTGTGAGAGACCAAATGGTTTTGCAAAACATATTCAGAATATCTAAAAACCAATTGTAAAACTTTCATAATTAATAATAGAATTGGGTAAATAGGGCAGATAAAACAGCAATAAAAATTACTGATCTTCCTGTACCAAAATAACGAATTAGAAAATGTAATAAAAATGTTATTGGGAATTCTGCATTGTGATGGACCCTATAACTGAGCAGGTCAACAGAGCTGAAGCTCTGGACCAGCAATCTTGGTTCTTGTGATAGTGAGCAAAGAATTGCAAACTGACACCAAAATGCAAGCTTAAAGAGACATTTATTGAAGCACAGTATTATACTCTCAGAGAGTGGATTGATTTCTGTGAAGTGAAATCATCCCCTCTTTACAATTAGGGGGTTTTTATGAGGGTTTTGTTGGGAGGAGTTGAGGTTTCAGCAGTGTCTGAGTGACAGGATGATGTCATTTGATTGGCAGTTTTTATGGTTACATAGCTAAATCAAACTGTGCATGTTCTTGCCCGTAAGTCATTAAGACAATCCCACTAGGGAGCATGTTTCGGGAGAACCAGCCCCCAGTAATTCAGCATAGGTTCTTTTCTATTTTCCCTAAGTTTCAGCCAGTCTGAGAAATAAAGAGAAACAGTACAAAGGAGAAATTTTACAGCTGGGCCTCTGGGGGTGGCATCACATGTCGGCAGGTTCTGTGATGCCCCCTGAGCCGCAAAACCAGCAAGTTTTTATTAGGGATTTCAAAAGGGGAGGGGTGTACGAATAGGGAGTGGGTCACAGAGATCACATGCTTCAAAAGGCAATAAAAGATCACAAGGCAAATGGCAGAGCAAGATCACAAGTCCAGGGCGAACTTAGAATTGTTGATGAGGTTCTATGTCCTGCTGGGCACGCATTGTCATTGATAAACATCTTAACATGAAACAGAGTTCGAGAGCAGACAACCAGTCTGACTAGGATTCTCCAGGCTGGCATTTCCTAATCCTAGGAAACCTGAGGGCACTGCAGGAGACCAGGGCATATTTCATCCCTTATCTTCAACCACATAAGACAGACACTCCTAGAGCAGCCATTTTAGAGACCACTCCCTGGGAATGCATTCCTTTCCTGAAGTTATTCCTTGCTGGGAAAATAATTCAGCGATATTTCTCCTATTTGCTTTCTGCAAGAAGAGAAATATGACTCTGTTCTGCCTGGCCCTGCAGGCAGTCAGACCTTGTGGTTATCTCCCTTGTTCCCTGAAAATTGCTGTTATCTTGTTCCTTTTTAGGATGCCCAGATTTCATATTGTTCAAACACACGTTTTACAAACAATTTGTGCTGTTAACGCAATCATCACAGAGTCCTGAGGTGACATACATCTTCAGCTTATAAAATGATGAGATTAAGAGATTAAAGTAAAGACAGGCATAGGAAATTATAAAAGTATTGATTGGGGAAGTGATAAATGTCCATGAAATCTTCACAATTTATGTTCAGAGACTGCAGTAAAGACAGGCGTAAGAAGTTATAAAAGTATTAATTTGGGGAACTAAAAAACATCCATGAAATCTTCACAATTTATGTTCTTCTGCTGTGGCTTCAGCTGGTCCCTCTGTTTGGGGTCCCTGACTTCCCGCAACAAGCGTGGTATAACCACATTTAAATTTTATTATATTGATGGCATAATGAGCTTGAAGTGAACCTGAGGACACAGTTCTATGCTACTGGGCATTTGCCACTTTAGGGGATTTCCACCTGTGACCTAGTTTCTCTTTCTACAAGATGTGCTGGCCACGGACTCTACCACAAACTCCACTTGTTAGGGAGTTTAGGGTGGGCGGTTCTGGGGCTGAACTTAAGTGGACCATGGCCTGCTGTTTTAGGGACAGCCTTTCTGCTCTCTTCTTTACCCCCTCCCAGCTGCTAATGTCTATCTAACCACTTGACAAAAATACTTTCACAACAATGAAAAAGTAGTAATACTTAGGAATATGCATTAATGTATTGTGAGACATAACTGAATAAAATTTATATTTTACTATTTGAAGCTTTGCTATATATTAACTCTATGATCTTAGCAAAGTTATTTGAATACTTTAAGTTTTAGCTTCTTCACATATAAAGATAGAACTGATGGTTTCTATCTCAATGAACAGTTGTAGAGATTTAAAAAAGAGAATTATAATAGTTCAACATATATCTTTATCTGCTAAAAACAAAATCAGTGCTTGCAGAGGTAACATTATATCTCAAGCTGATTTTCTGGTGACAGAGAGTGTTTTTGACTCTTATCTAAAGAAGTATTATTCTTTTGAACAACTCTAAGAATAACTTTTGAAACTGTAACAATTTAAAGGGGTTTAAACCAAATTTGGGACTATGTTCAACTTTACCTTCCTATAATTCTCATGCCAAGTAATAATTGAGATCTTTTAAAATGTTTTCTTTTTTTAAATTCTTAAATTTTATATCATTTAAAAATGAAAATGGCAGTTTGGAATAGTAGAAGATAAAGATTAAAGATACCAATTTAAAGTAAATTGGTAGAAATTCTTTAGGAAAATCTATGGCAGTACATTAGAGGAGATTTAGATATCCTTACACTTGACTGTGTCAGATTTGCTTGGAGAAACTTACCGAAAGAACATAACGAAAATATTTTAAAATGAAGAGTTACTTATAAAGTTCAATATATGGAAGACAAAAAATCCACTAATAATGTCTCATCATATAAATGACAGTACATATTTCAGAAAAGATTAAATATGCATAACCATTTATTGTGAACACCTTTTAACAACACGGGCACCACACACACATTCACATGCGCATATGCTCCCCCCGACCCCCCCTGGACACACACACAAACATTACCATGAGATTACAGAGACATTATGAGCATTATTACTGTGATTATTTCTATCTAAAATATTCATGTGTCACCCGTAGAACAATAAGAAAGAATAAAAATAGTCATATGAACAAGTGTTATCCAAGCTGTGTTTTTTTTCAATAATCTATACAATTATTAAGATCTTTAACATTAACTTCTTATGATTAAATAAAAGAATGCTATATAGTTTGGGGCAACTGCAAACTACTCCATGTATAGCCACCCTGAATTTGGTGTCTCAAAACCCTGTGGTTCTAACCAATATTCCCGCTTTCTTGCATTTGCATTCACCAACTTACTTTGCAAACTACTTCTAAAACGTATTGCTATAAATTGGGTAAATATCATTGACATTTCCTTATTTGAGTTTCTTAAGAAACTGCCACAGGTCTAGCATATTCACTTTAAATTTTACACACTGATCATGACTTCACTAAAACGGCTTTGTTTCTCTTCATCTCAGTAATTTTTTCTCTTTCTCTACTATGTGGGCTCCATACTTAATATATATATTTTTAATTTACTATGTTTATTGTCTCCAAGTTTTGGCATAAGAAATTTCCCTCTCCTGCAATGACTTTTCTCTAATACATGTTCTTTCACTTATTCAAGGAACTTTCCTCATAATAGTGCTTAATACTTAAATATCCATCCTACTTATATCTAATGTTGGATATAAAGTGGAATAATATTCATTCTATATAAATGTTCTTTCGTCTTCTTCCCAGAGAGTAAATTTCCAATTTTATTGTAAGCTCTAAGTTGCCAGACACCAAGCCTAGTTTTGTTTATACCTGCCACTGTGTTCTGATACATTGAAATCTTACTAAATGGAGTGAAACATTTTGTGCAATAACCTAATAATCATCCAGTTAATGTACAACTTCAGTTGAAGCTTTATCTGTGCTGTCACATCATCTTGCAAATCCCTGAGACCCTGTATACTTGTTACCTTTTTATCTGTCAGAGATTTGGCTACAACTCGTAATCCCATTGATTTCTAGAGTTGTTTTGTCTGCTAGTTGGATATCTTCATCCTGGAAGCAATACATGAGTGAAATGCTCTTTTTCAGATCAAAGTGTAACAGTAGATAAGCTCACTTTCCAAGACTGCTTAAGAAGCTCTCAAATTCCACAGTATTAATCTTAGTTTGATGATTTTGACTTGTTACAGAAATTTACATCATATTTCCCAGAAATGTTCTTATCACTCATACCCTATGAATATTAAAAATGTCTAAAGCCTTGACATTTTTATTTGCATTGTTTCTACTTTGACACAAATATTAATGTTTCTTTGGTTATTATGTAGAAAATAATAACTGTATGTGATGCTCAAACATAACTAGAGACTTGAACCCAATTTGTACAGATGATTGCCTGAAAGGAATAGAGGTGTTAACGAATACAAGCTAAAGTCATACAGCTTCCAAAATGTTTTACCAATTACTACAAATCCTTAAAAGCTTACAAGTCAAAATTTCATGGTTCAAATGTCAAATGTAAATTGTGTTTTTCATTCTCACTTTTCCATTGTTGTTGTTTTTATAATTTAATGAAGGTTATTCAGCAAGGCTAAATAGAGTTATATGTTATTTTTTTGAGAGTTAACAATTGGGGAAAATTACAGTTTTTCGACGAATTTAAGGCATTGTTTTGAGATTCATTGACTATGTTTAACTAAGAGAAAACCAATGACTATTTATTGTTAAGCATAAGCCTCTCCGCTTTTTGGTTTAGTATCCCCTACAGGAAATCATTTGATCCTGCCCTACTCCACTGTTACTGTTTCACACAAGATTGCCTTCTCACTCTCTATCTACTTTACCTCCAAGGTTAGAGGAGTGTTAAAGTGCCAGGCACGTTAAATAAATAGCTACTCAGATCATTATATGTATCCTTCTCTCTAACTCTCCTCTAATTTCTAGTACAAACAGTCCCTGACTTACGGTGTCTCTACTTATTATTTTGCAACTTTAAATCATAGGGGAAGGTTGCAATTTCAATGTACCTCAAATTTTGAATTTTAATATTTTCCTGGGATAGTAATATGTAGTACATGAGATTCAACACTTAATTATAAAACAGCCTACAGTTAGGCAAAATCATCCAACACAAAGCCTAATGTAAGTGCTCTGAGCACATTTAAGGTAGGCTAGGCTGAACTATGATGTGATGTAGATTAAGTGTATTCAATTCATTTCATACATAAAATATTTTCAACTTACAATGAGTTTCTTGGGATATAAGCCCATTGTAAGCCAAGAAGCATCTGTATTTTAATGATCACATATAGCTTATTTATTCTTTTTATTTTTTTTAACCCCCATCTGTCTTCCTTCAATTAAATTCTATTGGACCCATTCCAACTGTGAGTAAGCTTCCCAATCAATATGGTTCATTTGGTTTCAATATTCCTTTCTTTCTTATCAAACTTGAAAATAAAGTTATCCCCAGTAGTGCTATATCTAAAAACTCTTAAACTGAATTACTAATATTATTTTACAATAATATTTTACAAGACTCCAAAGGTCCAAATTTATTTTTCCTTGCCCATTATATTTGAACATCTTTGTTCTACATTTTCTGCTTATTAGTACCATTTTGCTTATTAATAACAAAGCCTCACTTTTCATTTTTGAAACCCTGTGTTTTAGCAAAATAAAAAGATAACTGTTCATATTTGCACTTACTGTGTATCCAATACTATTCTACAAAGGACACTTTATTATTCAGTTATATACACACATATGTAAATACGAACTAAATGTAATACCAGCACCTTGGGAGGCCTAGGCGGTGGATCACCTGAGGTCAACTGTTAAAGACCAGCCTGGTCAACATGGTGAAACCCCATTTCTACTAAAAATACAAAAATTAGCCGGATGTGGTGGTGCGTAACTGCAATCCCAACTACTTGGGAGGCTAAGGCAGGAGAATGGCTTGAACCCTGAAAGTGGAGGTTGCAGTGAGCCAAGATTGCGCTGCTGCACTCCAGCCTGGGTGACAGATTGAGGCTCCGTCTCACAAAAATAAAAATAAAAATAAAAAAATCTAAATGGAATTCTACTTATACCCTCATGTTTTGGAAGTTTGGACAGTGATTTTGATCCTAACTTGGCCATTCACTAGCATTCTAACCAATAGTAACTATATGTAACGATTCTGCATCTTAATTATTTTTTATATAAAAAATAAAGATGATATTTATATCTGCCTCAACCTCCCCACATTATTTTTTATAGAGATCAAATAAGAGAATATATATAATACAATTTAAAAATTTAAAGTATAAAGCATACAAATCTTAATATTTGGAAAAAAAATAAATACCCTACTACTGATGAACTCTCATGAATCAGAATACTACAAAAATACATATGTGCTACTCATACCTGTAGTACCACCCTATCACAGTGTTATTAAGGACAGCCTCTAGCAGGAGAGTCTTTGTGTATTGAACTACGTTTTTATTAGTTTTCTGACATGAAACCAAAGCCACTGTAATGCTTTTTAGATGATAGTCAAAATTTCCCTGTCTCTAGTCCCTCATATTCATTCTCTTGTTACTCAATTAACAGCACTTTTTCCCAACTCTTCTTTTCTAGTAGCTTATTCTTTATTCTCATCTTTTAACTCAAACACTGAGATATGGTTATTCACTTATTATAAAGTGGTCTATTATGAATTAGCTATTTGATCTTGGATACTAGATCTGTCCCATTTTTCCTTTCCATTTTAAGGAAATCCTTTCCCTCATTAATTTCCTCTGAAAGCTAATTACAACCCCTCTCCTCAATATTGTGCCTCTAATTATTTTCTTATTTAAAGTGACTAGCAGCTATTATATACTGTTCCATAGCTTCCTGGTCACAGAAGTTAGGAGAATTAGAAAGTGGTTTGTGTTTCTTGAATGGGAATTCTGTGTTTCCTAAAAATATGGATATTCTGTTACTTTTGCAGTATCACCTAATTACTGTATCAATTGATGTGAATTTGTTAGAAATCTGGGTTCAAATCCAGTATCTTTCACTTTCAAATAATCAGACAAATTGCTTAATACTTCTATAACTTAATTCCTTTATCTGAAAAAATGAGGACCTACTTCTTAGGGTTATAAGGAGAACTAAAAAAATTTTTTTTACATTATGTATTGAAATTATTCTAGGCACATATTAAAGAATCAATGAATTCTTGTGCTTTTACTTCACCATTACAGAAAAGAAAGATCCCAGAACACAAATAAATTTATGTTTGTTTTAGCCATGGAATTTTTAAAATTATTTTCTTAGGAATATGTATATACAAAACCTATTATTGAAAACCGTTCTCAAAAACATATGGTCTGGGTTATATAAATCCATTTGGCTTTCTAAATTTTTCTTCACATTGAAGCCTATTCTATAAAGTGGTCCCTGAGATATGTCTGCAAGAATCCTAATATCTACTTACACAAAAAATATTTGTAAAAAATAGTTTTGATGCTTTTCAATAATTTTATATTCATTTATATATGTATGTATGCATATGTGCATATATAGGTTTATTCACTTATAATATTATTTACTAAACACTTCTTGATCTTAGGAAGTATGTTTGTCCTTAAGAATATGAGAAATTAATACATTTTTATAAATCTAGGTAACTTAATATCTAATGGGAGAGACATAATCTGTCTCTATATACCTATGTAGCTATCTATCTACTTTATGACCTATTGTCAGAAGTGGTTGAACCAGAGCAACTCCATCTTGAATAGGGGCTGGATAAAACAAGGGTGAAACTTACTGGTTTCCTAGAGATTTAGTATCTAGAGGTTTCGTGTCTAGAGGTTAAATTTCAAAATATTTAAACATACTATGACTTTGTGATTTAGGAGATACACTTTAATATGTGTCTCGTAAGAACAAGAACAATATATAAAGAATCCATATACATATTCTTCACTAAGATTCCTCAATAGTTAATATTTTGCCAGTGGGCTTTGTAATTTTCTCCATATATAATCATATTATTATTTTTTCTGAATCATTTGAGAGCAAGTTACAAAAATGATATGACTTCACTCCCCAATCTTCAGTGTATTTCACTAGAACAAAAAGAGTCTCTTATATAATCTAAGTATAAAACTCTAATGTCTTACTATTTATTATCTAATTTATAGACCTTAATCAAAGCTTACTGATTGTCCCAATACTGGCCTTCATTAAAAAATCTACCAAGTTTCCAATTAAGGATGACATATGTTATGTTATTTGTCATGTTTCTTTAGCCTACTTTAATCTGGAACAGTTAGTCCTTCTTTATCTCTCATAAGCTTGCATTCAGGGACTAATCCCTATAACGTTAACATTGACATTTTTATGTGTGCAAGCCAGTTATTTGTAGAGTGAAGCTCAATTTGGGTTGATCTGATGTTGGAAGACCATAGGTGAGATGCTGCACTCTTCTCAGCGCATCTATAATGGAGAATATGATTTTTTTTTCATTACTGGTGATCTTCACTTTGATCATATCTTTGCTATAAAGTTATTTCCTTCTCTTTGCTATTTAAAAGTAGTTTTTGGGGAAACACTTTCAGGCTGTATAAATACATTATTCTTCACCAAACGTTTCCCCTCTAATTATAACATCCATTGATAGTCCTTGCTGAGTAAGTTTTTATAATAAAAAATTACAAGTAATGATTTACTATGTCTTTCATTATACTTTTTCCACTGGTATCCTAATTAAAAGATGATATTTTCTTTATCCTTCTATTTGTTAATTTACTAATTTACATATTTTGGGACTCATGACTTCCTATTTAATTAAACTGGTTATATGTAGCATTTCTGATGAAATAGGTATTCCTGGCTTTTCTTGTATTTTCCCTACCTAGCCAACAGAGTCAGTCATCAAAGTCAGTCATTTCTCCCAATAGCCTTGGGGAAACCTGTCTAGCTTGGTTGACTCTTTTCCTCACATATTTCTCATCCTCACTCTGAGTAGTTTAAGTATGTTCTATGAAAACGACAAAAGGACAAAATGGATTAAAAAAATATAAGCCATAATTGCAAGTGCTTTCCAAGTCTCTTCTCCATTATATCTGCTATGATTCCACTGTCCACAAAGTCATAAGGCCAAGCCCAGACTTAAGAAGTAGAATAAACTGATTCTCCCAAAGTGAGAAAACACTATAAAGTTACATGGCAAAGAGATGATGAATAATTGTTGCCAATGATTCAAGTTAACAAATGGTTGCGGATTATTGTCTAATCATTGCCTTAACTATATCCCTGTTACCAAGTAGTTTTATTTTTTGAAATTCTGAAATTTATGCATGTATTTTCCCCTTTTAATCAAGAAAAAGTTTAAAGAAAACATATACTCCACGTATATTATAGGATATATGATATATAGGTATTTTAATTAATAAGTGGAAAGTCATTGTATTTTTTATTTTATAATTAATCTTTAGTTCTATCCTTCTATTAAAGGATATAATCTGAATTATTTCTGCTTACTTAATTGAGATTTTATGTGAGCTTATATGACAAGAAATTTTAGCTATTTCACACGTAGTTTAGAAGAAGCTATAATTTTTATCATCTACCCATAAAATTTTATTGTTTGTGTTGTTTAGGTTTTCCAGAGCTTTACTTTTCTTCAACCACTTGATTAATCTTGAAATAAGAGCAGTGGATGAAAATTTTTATTATTTGTAATTTAGTTAATTTCTCCTTACCTAAAAAAATTCTGAATTAAGGAGATTATTGTTGGTTTATTTGTTCTATAGATACTCTTAATGTCATATCTTCACTGTGAAATAAAATATTTACTATGATGAACTCCAAATCTTTGTTCAGTTAGCTCCTTTTTTAGTCAAATTCAACCAGGTCTAATATCAGAATCACAATTCCTGCTGGTTTATTGTATACATTTCTTATCATTTATAATTAATCTTTATAAGTCTCCTCTTCAGAGTAACTTTTATATAGCACACAATTTGATTTTGCTATCTAAGTTCATCTAATATTTTTCATCTAATAGGATAGTTAATCCATTTATAGGCATTAATAACATTGAATGATAAGTCTCTATTCTGTCATACAATATTGTATTTTTATATGTAATATGCTCATTTGTTGTGTTTATTTTTACTTTCTTTTCTATATGCCTTTATTTTTATTATTATTTTTTTTTGAGACGGAGTTTCGCTCCGTTGCCCAGGCTAGAGTGCAGTGGTGAGATCTTGGCTCACTGCTACCTCCAACTCCTGGTTTCAAGCAATTCTCCCTCCTCAGCCTCCCGAGTAGCTTGGAATACAGGCATGTGCCACCACACCCAGCTAATTTTTGTATTTTTTAGTAGAGACGAGGTTTCACCATGTTAGCCAGGATGGTCTCAATCTCTTGACCTCATGATCTGCCCACCTTGGTCTCCCAAAGTGCTGGGATTACAGGCGTGAGCCACTGTGCCTGGCTTGTTAATTTTATTTTAATTTGTTTTGATGTTTAAGAAACTTTTATCTACTTTATAAACTAATAGCTTTAATGAAGCTCTAGTACTCTTTTACTTTCAAATATTTTGTCAGCTTTAAAAGATATCTTTTGAATATCCTTTAATTCCTCTGTATCGATATAACTTTTTTCATTTTCACTTTTTTCTCAATATTAACAAAATTTTATTTTCAAATATGCCATAACATATATAATTCACAGAATACTCAAAATATTTATTTCTATGTTGTTGTAGCTTTAAATCTACAGTAAGATATATGTAATACTCATATTCAGTGCTTTTGTCAAATTTTCCCTCCTCTATATAGTGAATCTTCCCTTCTGGTTGTCTGTAGGGAAAGACTCATGAACACAGTTTGTCTTGAATTCTTACAAGCTTTAAAATATGTGTTGGATTGCTCATTTTCCTATATTCCTTATATTTGAAGAACAGTGTACTGACTATAAAATCCTTCATTTTCATGTTCTTTCCATGAGTTTCATAAAAAATATTTATGTACTCACGCATTGATTGCTGAAGGGAAGGCTGAGGATTAATTAATATTCATTTGCTCATAACAGACTTGATTTATTTACTTGGTTGCCCTAGACCAAAAGATTTTATTTTTATCTTCAACTTCAAATAGTTTTGTTAGTATATGTCTGAGTTGACCATTCTGTGCCAATTTTGGAGTAAGCAGCAATTTTTTCAAAAATAGTTTTTAGGTACTTATAAGAAATATTTTTTGTCTGCCTTATGGATCCCTTTAGGGCATATTTTATTTCTTGATTTCATTTTAATTTCTTCAATTTTTTAATTTATATAACTCAACTCATTTATCATCTCTTAGAAGACTTGTAATTTAGTATCTGTTTCTGATATGATTTAGTCCTTTTTAATACTTTTTTCAAATTTATTAACTCATTCCATGTTCAGCTGTTAGGAGTTTGTGCATTTTGCATATCTATAGATGGTTGTTTAAATACATGTAATCTAGATTACAGTGTTTTTCTCTGCTCCTAGTTATTCTTTAGAAAGAATTTTCATCCTGGGAGAAATGACTGGCCCCTGAGCTTGAGCAGGAAAAATACAAGGTTAGCCTGGAATATCTTGCTCACAAGAAAAGAAGTGATCAAAAAATGATGGAAATGTGCAATATACTAGACCTGCTTATACTAGCTTGTGAAAACTAATTGAGCAAATCAAACTAGTGTTTTCATTCTCCTCTCTTATTTTCTTATTAAGTTAGCTTTATATGGGTGTGTCTACCATTACTGTTTATTTTGTAACACTTCCAATTTTTTTGGACTAGCAGTAACAGAATAACTGATAGAATTAATAACTACATTTCTTAGTTCAATAATGTTCTCCTCTGTTGGCAAAATGAAGTAAGGAGGTTTTTACAATCAATTGTGCCATTTTGAGAAGTTGAATTTGTATTTTTTCTGATTTTTGTAATATTATTCTTTCTACCAGCTACTTCATTTCCACCTTTTGTGTCCTTCAAACTTCCAAGGGACAGCTCCTCTATTCAAGTAAGCTCAATTTCCCAGAAGCAATGCCTTTCTTAAACTTCAAACTCAACCTCTTCTGATTTCCCAGTTGCCAATATCTGAACTCCTACATATTAGTCCTATTGCAAGTATTTTCTCATTTAATGTGGTATTATTTTGTGGCAAGTGATTTAATATATATTCCATGACTTATAATATCAAGTTTTCAATTAATTATATTTTTGTGTGGTTTCCACCTAACTCTTTCCTGGCATGATGCTTTGCTATTATAAAATATTTCTCTACTATCAAAAGGTTTAAGTTATGCATAGTTTAATTTACTATGCATGTTTACTATGTTTAGTTTAAACAATCACCATTGTTTAATATGTACATTTCTTAAAATGGGAAGATATATAGTAGCCACCATTATTATAATAAAACTTATTATTCTTTGAAAACCTAAATTTTTGTTTTTGAAATATTGCTATGGCTGAACCTTAAAGTATGAAATGGAATACTTGGGGAGGAGAAATCCTGAGGGAAAACTAAAAGTTAATAAGTTTTATAATAATTAGATAATCAAAAATAACTGTGGATAGAGCATATGGAGATGTCTAAAGTGAGAAAATTCAGGTAAAAGAAAACCAAGACCATTCAATTCTTTGCTGGCTTGGAATTAAAAATTAATGAAATGATGCAGTTTAAAAGGATATTTTGATATGAGATCCTGATTATTAATCTATCTGGAATATCAGGTCATGGATACTACCTGTCTCAATCCTATCTGTGCACAATTGGTAAATGGGAAACTTAAGCCACATTAAAAAAAAAAACTTCATTTTTATTATATGCCTCATATACAGTTCTATGTCAAAACTAGGAATAAAATAATATTTTTAAAAGTACGTATGATTATTACTATGAATTTGTAAATGAAAGAATTATTGCTTAGAAAGCTTATATTTTAAATATTATCCACATGGCTAAATTGATAATAAATGGTGAAGAAATTATTCAAAGTTATGTCTCAGCACAATTTTACTTTTAAAGATAAATTAAAATACTAGCAAATAAACAAATACTTTGCTTCATACAAGTCACAGATAATAGTAAAGCCAGTAAACCTGAATTTATAACTTTCTTTGTAGGAATCTCCCCATCTAAATTGGAAAAAGCATTTTGAGAGGTAAATCACAGCATCTTGACATTTTAGTGACTGTCCATAGTATTCTTTCCCCCAATCAAAAGATGTCAAAATGGGTTTCACCACAGGAAATAGATTAGTTGATTAGGTCAAACAAGGTGTAGGCAATTCCTGTTTTACAATAAAAGAAAACACTGTTATTTTCTTAACTTAAGTGGATATTGACTTTTACTATAGAGAAGATCAAGATTTATTATCTCAAATGATAGTCAACAGACTGGCTGACAACTATTGACTTGGGGGAAATCACAGCAGGCCACTGAACCACCAGTGAACCTGAAGAGAGATCTTTTGTGTCTCGCACAGCAGGACAAGGCCAATCTTACATCAAGAAGATAGGCCTTGCTAGCAACAAGGAACATTAAAATATGTCTTTCCGTTTATTTGGTTTGTGATGTTCCTTCAATATCTTAGTACTTTTAAGGCTGAGAGCAGTTAATTGTAGAATTGGAGAGTTAGAGATGAAAATATCTATAGCAGTATGAGAATCTTAAACCCTTAAAAAAAAGTCTAATTATTTACTCAAAATGACCTTAGTGAATACTGATATTAGATTACTAAAAATAAATCTAATTTTTAAAGTCATAAAATTCACTTATCAACCTTTTAAGAGAGTTCAATTTCTAATAAATATATACCATTTTATAAAAATATTATCACATAAAGCGTTATTAAAAATCTGTACCTTTGTTTACAAATGGTATCTTAACAGTTTACTTATATTTTAATCCAAAATGCTGCTGGAGAAAGAATAAAAGGTACAAACATTTGAATTTGTTTTGGTTGTCTGGCATCCTGTGGATAAAAGACCTGACAAGTTTAGATAAAAAACAAGTCCCGATCAAGCTAGATTGAGTAAACACTTTGCAGTCTATCCTAATTTGTGTTAAGATGGAAACGCAGCATTCCTACTACTGAAAGAAGGCAAAAAATCAAACCCTAAAATACCAGGCAATAATCCATAGACGTTAGGGCAAACATGTAAAACAAATAAGTAAGCATAAAATGCGGGCAGTGTAAAATAAGATAAATATCATAGACAGTGTTAAGGTGACCCCCAGAATTTTCCGACTCCAGTATATGCACATCTTCTCCCAATTATTCAATCAAATACGAATGTGCTGCTATAAAGCGATTTTGCCAAAGGAAATAAGGTATTAAGGTCCCAACTCAGTTGACTTTTACGAAGGGAGCGTATTCTCAGCGGGCCTGACTTAGTCAGGTGAGGACTTAAAAGGTCAGGGCCCCTCCTGGAGAGGGAATCAAAGTATCAAAGTATGATGGATGATTCAAAACAAGGAGATTCTCTATTTTTGGTTTTGACGATGGAGGGAGCTACAGGATAAGTAGTTTGGACAGCCTCTCAGAGCTGAAAGTGAACTGTAGTAGCAAGGACGTGAATTCTGGCAACAAATTGAATAAGTGTGAGAAAGAACACCATCTTCAGAAGAGAATCACATCAGCCAAAACCTTGATATTTGCTTTGTGAGACTTTGATCAGAGAACCCAGCCATGCCGTACCTGAACTTCCGACCGACAGAACTGTGAGCTAATAAATGGATTTTTTTTCTCTTTTCTTTTTCTTTTTTTTTTTTTTTTTTTTGAGACAGAGTCTCCTTCTGTCGCCCAGGCTGGAGTGCAGTGCCATGATTTCGACTCATTGCAACCTCCGTCTGCCGGGTTCAAGCGATTCTCATGCCTCTGCCTCCTGAGTAGCCGAGATTACAGGCGCGTGCCACCACGTCCGGCTAATTGTTGTATTTTTAGTAGAGATGGGGTTTCACCATGTTGGCCAGGCTAGTCTCAAACTCCTGACCTCAGCTTATCCGCCCACCTCGACCTCCCAAAGTGCTGGGATTACAGGCGTGAGCCACTGTGCCTGGCCATAAATGGGTGTTTTTATAAGCTGCTGAATTTGAAAGAACCTGTTACACAGCAATAGAAAACTTAAAAAAAAAAAAAAAAAAAAAAGGCGGGGGGAAAGGAAGGCTAAAGATATTGCTATGTTAATAAATATAAATAATTTAAATTCCCCGATAATAGACAAATATTATTGATGTTTACTTGCATGAACAAATAACAATGTCACAACTAAATTAAAACAATAAAAGTAAGAACAACGGCATTAACAAAAAAGGATAGAAAAAAGTCAGATAAACCAAAAAGGAAATAGTAGTAGTAAACATACTAGTCTTACACACAGTAAAACTAAAGACAAAAGGCCACAAAGGTGAAAAAAGTATAATTTAATAACTACAAAAAAGTCACCTACAAGGCAGATATAATAGTCAATTACTAGTATACACTAGTAACATTATATACATATCATTTATATGTACATACTCCATACATACATAATTCATGTATAAACTCTTTACTTTCTGTAGAGAGTATGGCAGATTTCCCCTCAAAGGGCCAGACAACTTCTGTTGCAAGCACTCAATTCTGCTGTTGTAGTTTGAAAGCAGCCAGAGATAATATGTAAAGGAATGATTTTTCAAAAAAAAAATTATTTCTGGACCCTAAAATTTAAATCACAAATGATTTTCACCTTACTAAGCTTTAGTCTTCTTATTTTTATTCAATCATTTAAACAATTTAGAAAACAACATTCCTAACTTGTGGAGAATTAAAAAAAAAAAATAGGTAATGTTCTTAGTTTGGTTTTGGCTATAGTTGCAAACTGCAGAACTAAACTTTTCTTATTCCAGAATCAAACATATGAGGACTAAGAGTAATCTCTTGATTTCTAACTCACAATAAAAATTCTCATTATATGAAAACATGAACAAAATAATTTCAGTTAGAAAAGGATGTCATGTATATATGGTTAAAATATATAGATAGTCCTCATTTTACACAGTTTTGATATTTCGTTAAATAACACCAGTTTTCCAAAAATGGTTCAAATTTCTATTACCATGATATAATAACTTTGAGAAGTATATAAATAAACAATTTTCACTGCTAATCTTCAGTCCACTAATCACTAAGTAAATAACAGAAGCTTATTATATTCAGTGATCTATTCTTTCATTTAAAAAACAATTTTTCTTTGGTTGGCCACTGTGCATTTGTTGGTTTATATACAGACAGTTAAGCATGTAGTTGTGTTGCCTGCTTATCTCCCAGTGATAAATTCATGTGACATTTTACAAAAGTGGATAATCAGAAGAGAGAATTGGCCAATAAATTTAAAGTACAGCAAGTAAACGAAAAGTGATAATGCTGAAGGTGAAATTTGAGTCTAATATAAATTGAGTTGTATGAGAAATAGCAGACCATAGGAATGATGAAACACACTGTTCAAGAGACTCGAGATACACAGCTGGAGGAGCTCAGTGAGACAGGCATTCACACAGGTGAGAAAATGGTTGTGACAATGATGAAGAACTCCTAGAGGAACTGATG
This sequence comes from Homo sapiens, assembly GCF_000001405.40. Classification (NCBI taxonomy): domain Eukaryota; kingdom Metazoa; phylum Chordata; class Mammalia; order Primates; family Hominidae; genus Homo; species Homo sapiens. The sequence continues at coordinate 163,894,060 of NC_000003.12, forward strand.
TTGGTTAAAAAAACAACAACAACAAAAAAAAACAAAAAAAAACTTCACACTAAGGAATTTTTAAAGATATTTTATAATATTAAAAATGTGAAGAATAAAATATTGGAAGTAGATCTAAATTTATAAAGAAGTATGGCATAGGAAAAACGCTCCATGTTGCAAGGTACACAATGGGAGGAGGGCAAAACCTTGTTCAAATTACTTTTCCAATTTTTTATAAGGACATAAAATACTTAATTCTCAATGTTTCTCATGTTTAAAATACATTATACTAATTATTAGTTGTACTAATTTTTCTTTTTCCTATACGTTTATAACTGACAATGAGAGAGTTTCTGTTTGACAAAAATGTTTAATGATTATAGAACAATTGCAATTTTTTCCATTAACTATTTGGATTACTTTGCACAATTTAGTAGGTATGGTCATTTTAACAGTCTCATAGTAATAGGAAAAGTGTAAACTGCCTTTATTTATATACATGTATGTGTTTGTGGTGTGTAAGTGTGTATGTGCATTCATATGTGTATGTTTCTATTATAGGATCATTTATCATAACTCTGTCTTTGGGAGATCAACTTGTCAAAAATAAAAGATAAAAAGAAATATATCTATATATAAAGTGAATAAAATAGTAAGACTGAATTGTTGCCTATAAATCTCTATACTTTATATAAGGACACACTTTCTTCTTAAGTATATAGAAAACATTTCCAAAGTTGATCATATGTTAGAACACTGAAACAACAGCAACATTTTTAAACACATTCACATCCCATAGAGCACTTTAAAAAGTTTAGAGATTATCAATTCAAAGTCCCAAGGGGTACGTAGGGTGGGTAATCAATGAATGAGCCAGGAACCCAAGAAAATATAAAGAGAAGCATTTTACCAAAATGTATAACATACCCTGCAAAGTAAATCAGCTTCTACAAAGCTTCAGATATAAATGCCATGGAGAAAATTGGTGAACTCATGATTTCCATTAAAGCAGGAAATCCAGGTTTTGAGGAGACATACCCAATTTTAAAAGCTCGATTTTAAATTATTTGTTGATAAAATTAAATAGCAGAAGGGGGAAGGTAACAACAGAGAGTAGTTATCCTGTTGTTGATATAGGGAACCCAAACTCATCTTCTGATAGGTACTGTTGTTTAGTGAAGCGCTAGAACTTCTGTGACCACTTCAAGGCAGCAGCGTGTCAGGGAAACTTCATACTAAGTGAATCAAATGTTCAAACTAGTTCGTAAACAAGATTCATAGCATGGTACATAAACCTGTTAATCCCAGTCCTAAGTACAAAAAGCTGGGTTGTATATACAATTACTAACAATTAATTTTCTATGAGACGCCTGTTCCACATTTTAAAAGGTAATAAGCAGGAATAAGAAATAATGCGATACCTAACCTTTTCTATGCGCTAGACACTGCTCAAAGCTCTTTACATATATTGGCTGGGTGCGGTGGCTCAGGCCTGTAATCCCAGCACTTTGGGAGTCTGAGGCGGGCGGATCACGAGATCAAGAAATCGAGACCATCCTGGCCAACATGGTGAAACCCCATCTGTACTAAAAATACAAAAATTAGCTAGGCATGGTGGCACGTGCCTGTAATCCCAGCTACTCGGGAGGCTGAGGCAGAATCCCTAGAACCCGAGAGGTGGGGTTTGCGGTGAGCCGAGATAGCGCCACTGCACTCCAGCCTGGCGACAGAGTGAGACTTTGTCTTAAAAAAAAAAAAAAAAAAAAAAACAACTCTTTACATATATTAATTAATCTTTTAACAACCCTGCCTGGTAGGTACTTTGTTAGCCTCACATACAGATAAAGAAACCAAGACAAAGAATAATTAAGTAATTTGCCTAAGATTATACAGCTAGTAAAAAGCAGAACTGAGCTTTGAACACAGCGATTTTAGTCCAAATAAACGTGGAATTTTAGATTGATTATTATAGCAGTGTGAAAGTTGGATAAAATTGAGGCATGGCTAAAACAACAGAGGTCAGGACCCTTTCAAAGTTATCTTAAGAGGGATTTACCATGCAAGGTGAGGCAAACATAGAGCTGACTTATTTTTCAAATGTTTGAGAGATAAATTAACAACATTTGGGGGTGGGACACTTAAGGAGTTTGAGCAATGTGAAGATAAACTTCATGTTTCTGACTTGAATGACTCATGACACTAACTGCGTGTAAAGCAGTTAAGTTTTGAGGAGTAAAATGGATCTGTTTGTGGACAGCTTGTATTGGTTTATTGAGCACAAGACAGTTCAATCTGAAAATAAATTTGGGAACAATCCATATACTTATATAAAACAATGGAATATAATTGGAGTGGATGAGATCACCCTGTGTTTTTTTAGAGAAAAACAGCAATAACCACTGAAAATACATTTGAGAATACAATATTTCATAGGTTGAAATAAAGATAGAACTCATTATGAAGATTAAGAAGGGAGGATAAAATAGGAGAACTAGGCGCAAAGAATATGATGGAAACAGGGGAAACATATTTCCAGGGGGAAAGCATGGTTATCAATGTCATAGGATGCAGAAATATTCAAGAAGATAAAAATGGAGAAGTAGTCAATACTAGTGTTGATGAATTCATGACAACAGAAGTCAAACTGCAGTGCATTTGAGGCATGAATTAAAATTGAGAAACAGCACTAATCTTGCAAAATAAAGAGAGGTAGGGAGAGTGGTAGAGCAGAGTCTAAAGAAGAGCACATGCATGAATAGTCAAAATAGAGTTTACAAAGAAGGAGACCTAAACCTGTTATAAGTAGAGGTAAAGGACAAGTAGAGAAGGGAATCTGATGATGGAGACAAGACACATGATAATTGATCAGGCAAGATCCTAGAAGAAATGCAGTGAAGAAGAGATTAAGATTCATGTGGATGAATTGGATTGGATTAGGATAATGAACCTCTCTTTTCCTGACACTAAAAAAGATTAAGACAGGGACTAAATTATATAAATTTTTATTTGAGAGAAGATAATTGGGATGTTGAATCATTCATTCTTGATAGGTTGATTTTTAAGTGAAGTAGAATGCAAGGTTTTTCTTTGCATTGCGAGTGAAGACTGTGAGGATGAGTAGAGCCTTGACTAGAGTAATTGTTGGAAATGTGAATGAGGAGCTTACTAACAATAATTTTAAAAACTGTCAAAAGGTCTTGAATACCAAACTGAGATTATAGAACAGAAATTTAGGAAATATTTCTCCCTTTGAAGAAAATGAAAATCTCGTTATGTATCTGTTGACTGTCAACCAATTCAGCCATAGAAAATCTATAATTGACCCTTAAATAACACAGGTTTTAGCTGCACAGGTCTACATATATGTGAATTTTTTTCAGTAAATATATTAGAAATGTTTGTGCAAATTTGCAATTTGAAAAAACTCACAGAAAAGCCATGTAGCCAAGAAATAGTGAAAAAAATAAGGAAAAGTTTTTTCTCTCATGAATATATAAACTATACATAGCTACTAGTCTATTTTATCTTTTACTGTCATAAAATATACACAAATCTGTTACAAAAACTTAAAGTTTATCAAAATTTTTGCACATAAACACAGACCATAATGGTGCTATTCATGATCAAAAGGAATGTAAACACAATAATACAATACTACATTGTAACTATACGATTACTGTAGAACATACTGTACTACCGTAATAATTTTGCAGCCCTCTTGTGTTGTTATTGAGTTAAGCTCAAATGTTGCAAGCATCCACTTAAAACACCTAGAGATGCTAGTCATCATCTCATAGGCAGGTCATCTCTCCAGTTAATTGCATATTGCAATACAAAGTGATCTCTCATGGTTCTCACATATTTTTTACCATGTTTAGTGCAATATTGTGAACCATCAATAGCACAATGGGATCTATTTGAAGTGCCACTAGTGATGCTGGAAGTGCTCCTAAGAAGTGGAGAAAAGTCATGACATTATGAGAAAAACTTGAATTGCTTCTAACATAGATTGAGGTCTGAAGTGGTCGTTGCCCACTTTTTTCATATAAATAAATCAAGCATAGGGACCATGTAAAAAAATAGAAATAAATTATTCATAGAACCATTGTTGCAGCTACAGCAGCATGGGTAAATAAATACCTTGCACATTTTATGAAATACCTTTTAATATCTCATATTGAAAATTCAGCTTTTATAAAGATATATAATTTCTGTAAGAAAGACACACCTACAGACTAATAATTTGAGAGAAAGTGAAGTCATTATATGGCAAATTCAAGCAAAATGTAGGCAAAGAATCTAAGCCAAAAAATTTAATGCCAACGAAGGGTGGTTTGATGATTTTATAAAGAGTATCTTAAAAAATATCAAGATAACAGAAGAAGTACCTTCTACCAACTAAGAGGTAGCAAAGTTCCCAGATGCTATTAAGAAAATTATTAAAGATAAAGGATATCTGCCTGAACAGGGTTTTAATGCAGATTAATATATCTATTCTTGAAAAAAGTTATGCCACTATGGAAACTTATTAGTAAGGAAGAAAAACAAGTGTAAAGATTTGAGGTGGGAAAGGATAGGATAACTTTATAATTTTGTGCATATATGGTTGGGTTTATGATGGAGACTGCCTCTATATATAAAACTATTAATCCCCAAGCTTGAAGGGAAAAGATTAACATTAATTGATAGTCTTTGAGTTGTACAACAAGAAAACCTGGACAATAAAAATTCTTTTTCTTGATTTGTTGCAGAGGTGCTTTGTTCCTGAAGTCAGGAAGCACCTTGCAAGTAAAGGATGAATTTTAAAGATTTTTTGATTTTGGACAATATCCCTGGCCACCCAGAACCTCCTGAGTTCAACATTGTAAGTGTTAAAGTGTCTAATTTATTCCAAAAACAATGTCCCTAATTCAGTTTCTAGATCAGTGCCTAATCACCATGTTTAAAGTTCATTACACAAAGTATTCTATGAAAAAAGTTGTCAATGCTGTGGAAAAGAACTCTGATAGAGAAAACATTATGAAACTGGAAGGACTACACTATTGAAGGTGCTGTCATTGTTGTAGAAAAAAGTCATGAAAGCCATTTAGCCCAAAACACTAAATTTCTGCTGGAGAAAACTGTGTCCAGATATGGTGCATCTAGATTTATGACAGAGCCAATTAAGGAAATCATGAGAGACTCTGAGTATGGAGAAAGTGAGGCAGCTGGGTCAAGAGTTTCAAGATCCTGGAGAAATTAAAGAGCTAATAGAGCCCACACGAGAGGAATTAACAGAAGCTGTCTTCATGGAAATGGGTGCTTTCAAACCAGTGCCAGATTATGAGAAAGAAGACATTGAAGAAGCAGTGTCAGAAAACAAAAGGACGTTAGAGAATCTGGCCAAAGTGTTTTTATTATTCAAAACTGCTTTTGACTTATTTTACAACCTAGACTCTTCCATAATATAGGCAGTAAAACTAAAGCAAACTCTGGAAGAAGGACTGGTGCCATATCGAAACATTTTTAGAGAAATGAAATAGCTAAAAGGTCAGACAGAAATTACAACATGTTTTTGTAAAGTTATAACAAATGTGCCTGCCTCTTCTGCCTCCCTTTCCACCTCCTCCATCTCTTCTGTCTCTGTCATCCTGAGACAGCAAGACCAAGCCCTTCTCTTCCTACTCAAGGTGAAGATGACAAGGCCAAAAACTACTTCCGCTTAATAATAGTAAATATATTTTCTTTTTCTTATGATTTTCTTAATAACATTTTATTTTCCCTAGCTTACTTTATTCTGAGAATACAGTAAATTATACATATGGCATACAAAATATGTTTTAAATGACAATGTATGTTGGTAAGGCTTCCAGTCAACAGTAGGCTTAGCAGTTAAGTTTTTGAACGTCAAAAATTTTACGCACATTTTCAACTGCAAGAGTAGGAGGATGGAACACTTAACTCTTACATTGTTCAAGGGTCAGCTGTACTTAAAGGAAAATAAAATGTTTAAATGATGTGCAGAATAATTTCCTTTAAAAGATTTGAAGAGTGTTTACTGAAATTGCCTTTTTGATATCAAAGTTTTGTTTGACAAATGTTATAAATTTTAAAGGGCTCTTGAATGTAGAAGTCATTTCCTTCTTAAATACCATTGGTGCTATGTGAACTGGTTGAAATAGGCATAGGATCAATCCTCTGCTTCTCATTCTCTGCTGACCCAACCCTTCCCTTACTGCACCTGACAATCTTTAGGAGAGGAGCAAATTATTTTAATTATTATTTCCCATGCATTTTTAGAAAAAAATATTTTTAGGAGTTTCTAAGGGAGAAATGTATAAACTGATTCTGACAAATATTCAGTGAGTATAGATGATGAGTGTCACAGCACCCTCCTTTCTCCTTCCTTGTGTATGCTTTATGTTTAAGGAGGCTTCAGTTGCTTAGGATTAATTTAATAAATATTTATTCAACTGTGACTGAATTCAAAGTTCTCAGCTTGATCCAGTGAATATGTGAAATACAAAAACCAACCAATAAACAATTTGAAAAACTAGGTTTCTAACATAAGTGAGCTCAAATCTTGGTACTTATATATTTCTTCAAAATAGTGTTGGAAAAGGAGTAAAAATTGAATTAGAAAGGGTTCTAAAGCTCTCAAGGGATTAGAACAGGCTCGCTTGGAAAAGTAAGAACCAAATGGGTGTGGCTATCTAAATGAAAGTAAGGAAGGGAAGAAAGAATATGAGATGACAGAGGAAGAGGTAAATGTAATGGCTTGGAGGAAGAAAGACTGTGGTTCTCAAACATTGTGCATTTGAAAAATTAAGAAAATTTTCATATGACTGGAACATGAAAATGTATGTAGAAGGGGAAGTTGCTATCTGTTGTTTAGAGAAGGGGTCAGATCTAGTTAGGTCACAATATATGACATAGATTAAGAGCCTGATCCAAAAATTCATTTGAAAGTTTGAGAGGTTATGGAGGGCTGAACTTGAGCAGTAGTTATGGAGACATGACGAAATGAAAATATTAGAGAGATGGGACTTGGTACCTATATCAATATAGGAAAGGGGGACTGGGAGTGGAGTGGAGTGGAGTGGAGGTGGAGAAAAATAATGACAGGATTTGAGCAGAGCTGGTGAGAAAGGTAATTTTCCAATTGATGAAAGCCTAGAAATACTGTTAAATGACTACTATCTATTGTAATGGGGCTGCTATTTTTAAGTATAAAATTCAGAGTCAGGGGATTGAGCATATTCTCACATAACAAAGGCTTAAACCACATGTATACATATATATTTGACTATTATTATGTTCGAGGTGGTAAATTCTTAACAAGAATCATGCTTATCTTATTTCAAAGGAACTTCCATGGGTAGTTTCTATAAATTTCAGTTTTGGTCATTTCTTCACTATTTTTATTTTCTTTTTCATGTGTTTTTCTCTATGATTTTATTCTTCACCATTGTATTTTAACATATTGGTAAAATATCTTAGCATATGAGAAAGGTAGTACTGAATGTACCTGTTAATTCTCACCTTTTAAAAATATTGACTGCAATTAATAAGGCTTCTAGCCTTGCCTTCCCTGTGCATAATCAAAAAAGCTTAAAATATTGGCTAATTACAGCACCGGTAAAACTATCAATACTCAGAATTTGTAGCACAACTGTTCCCTAGCTAGGATAGAAAAAAAACTTTTCACCAAAACTCATTTTACACAATTAACTAGTTGCTTTATTGATTCCTTCTTCTCTATGGTTATTGAATAAGTTGCTGAATGAATCATACTTTTAAAATAAAAAGTCACTATTTTCTTTAGAAAAAAGTTATTATGGAATCCTAGAAACTAATAAAATGAGCAAAGAATAAATTTAATGTTAATTATAATGTATTTTTAAACTGACTGCATTAATTAAATAAATTATATGCATATATATGATCTTTATGGTTCCTAGAATTACTATTAAATTATATCATAGTAGAAACAGTTTTGATTACTATATTCTCTTTTAAGTTAAAAAATTACTTGAAACGTAGAATATTATTGTGAATAAATGTTTTTATTGTTATAATGTGTTGGGATAACATTGCTCAAAAATAAATTTAAAATATTTTTGCTTCTTAAACTACAAAGTTAGTCAGCTAGGACATGTCCAATTATTCACAAGGAAATAGAATGATTAGTTGAAGATTGTTGAGAAATATACCTAAATCTAAAGAGAAAAATTAAAACTTAGAAAGGATGTACTGAAGAAGAAACAAAAAGAATTTTTTTCAGAAGGTAATTTGGTTTAGAAAAATATTAAAGATCTAAGAAAAAACAACTAGAGGTGTTTTTTTAGATCATATAAAATAAGAAATTAACAATGGTGGTTTAAAAATAGTGACTCTCATCTATGAGCAGCGCAGAATACTGAAATGGTTATTGCTAACCTGTTGAGAATTTAATGAAATATACATATCCTTTAGCAAAGAGGCCACAATAAATCTAATTTTTTTAAAATGCCAAATATAATATAAATAATATAATTATATATTATATATAATAAATAATATAATTATATATTATATATAATAAATATATAATTATATATATTTATAATATATAATTATATATGTATTATATATTATATTATAAATATATATAATTATATATTATATAATATATAATTATATATATTTATATACTGCAACAAAATTATGCTCATTTCAAATTTGATAGACGATTCCTAATATGCCTTCTTGTGTGTTCCAACAATTTACTTGCCTTTATTTTTTAAGACAGGTTCTCGCGGGCTGGAGTGAAGTGGCACAATCATATCTCACTACAGCCTCAAACTCCTGGGCTCAGTTGATCTTCCTGAGTTGCCTCCCGAGTTGCTGGTACTACTGGTGCATGCCACCACACCTGGATAATTTATTTTTTAATCTTTTGTGGAGACTATATCTTACTCTGTTGCCCAGGCTGGAGTGCAGTGGCACAATCATGGCCTACTGCAAACTTGAACTTCTGGGCTCCAGTGATCCTCCTGCCTCAGCCTCCTGAATAGTTGGGACTATAGGCAAGCATCACCATACCCAGTTGATTTCCTCTTACTTTTTGTGAATACAGGCTCTCACTATTCTGGACAGGCCAGTCTCAAACTCCTGGGCTCAAGCAATCCTCCCACTTTGGCCTCTCAGATTGTTGGGATTACAAGCGTAAGCCTCTGCACCTAGCCTGCATTCTCACTTTTTAAAAAACAAGAGAGTATCTACTTCCACATTAAATTACATAGTGTAGATTATAAATCTTTTTGATCTTCATACTGACAAATGAAGAAATAAAATCTCAAAATTTTGATATGCATGTTTATAAATTATGCTCTGCATCCTTCTATCTGAGAACTACTTGAATTTACTTTTCTCTGCACTGTGGAACCATATCCTTTCTATGTTTTTAAGTAGTTTGTTGTTATTTTTATAATATCGCAGTCCCTTAACTCTGGTAAATTTTACAAATACCCCTAATATTCCTCATGTTTTTACTTAAATTTCAGCTTTATTTATAAAATAAAATTTTGCCTGAGAGAAAGTATTAAGTTTTGTGCTTCAATTTATGGTTTCTGGGCAGAAAAGAGTCTTCATATCTAGAAACAATATACTATTCATACAGAACATAACTACATGTAAATTTGTATAAGCACACAGCTTCATGTCTTCTTTTGTACTTTTTTGACTTCCAATTTTTACATTTTAAATACTTAATTTAACAGGAATGTTGGTATAAAGCAGAAATATTTTTCCTGTTGCTATGTAATGTCATACTTATTATAAGTCTTAGACACTTAGAATTTTCAAATTTTCTTCTTCATTCAGAATTAGACATTTTCCAAATTTTATATCCCAATATAGTCTCAGTTCCTCAATACGTTTTTGAGATAATTATATAAGATAGTCTAAAAATGACCTTCAAAATTAGAAATAAAATCAGCTTTAAAAAAATAATAAAACATACACACTCTAATTCTAATTAAAAAATGGATATTTAAAATACAGCAGCTAAGAATAAATGAATATGTGATAGGTTCACATGGTTTTAAAAGTCTCGGTTTTAAGATAAAATTTAATTGTAGACTAGGAAAGGGAGTAAGATAATGCTTGCTTTTGAAAACTAGAGATTCAAAGTTGGTGGCAGTAAAATGTACAATTGGTTTCAAGACAGAAGTTTTATTCCTACTAACTACGTGACCTGTGTTTTAACCTCCGAACCTCACTTTGCTCATCCGTAAAATAGAGACTAATTTAAAAAAAAAAATCATCCTACTTCAGAAGGTTACTATTAAGTACCCAAACCTTTTAAGCAGTTTTGTCCATCATGGCCTATTTTAAAAGAAGTTATGTTAATCTGAGACAGTCCAAAATAAACAGAGAGAAATATTTGAGATGAATTTGCCAAGCAGAGGCCAAAAATGGACCTCTAAAAAGCACATTATCTTTCAAAAGTATGCATTTAATATCACGATCTTGAACATATGGCAAACTCCCCTCTCTTTAAACAGTTTTCACTTTCCTCTAGCCACCTCTCTTCTGTCCATCAAAGTCTGCCCTCCTGAGTACATACTTCAATGTCATTTTTCCTCTATGTTACACTTCTCAGTGATGGGCTGGTGAACTATCGTGTACCAAAGCTCATGAATTTCCCTACAGAACAGTAACTAAAGAACAAAAACCTGATACTCTCTTTTTACCATTTACTATCTTGAATACTTATTATAAATCAGAAATACTTTTCAGGTTCTGCCAGGCAGACAATAATAGGCACTAGGGAAGTAATATATGCCTGAGGTAGATAAATGATAGGTATATTTCCCTCACTCATTTGGCTTTTGGTAAGTAACACAAAATACAGCTAGCTACTAAGCAGTATAAGAGTAGTTGTAGTAAAGGCAGGGTGTTTCAGTAGCTTATGTAAAGTCCTAGAAGATTAGAAAAACATTGGGCATGAAACCATATATATGTTTTTTCTAATCTTTTTTTAAATTTTTTAATTTTATTATTATTATACTTAGCAAACTATCGCAAGGTCTAATCTTTTTATAATATTTTTATTTTGTAGAGATGGGGTCTTGCTATGTTGCTCAGGCTGGTCTTGAACTCCTGGTCTCCAGTGATCCTCCCACTTTGGCCACCCAAAGTACTGGGGTTACAGGCATGAGCACACCAGGCTCAACCTACTGTATATATTTTTAGTGAATAACTACTCAGAATTACCCCTCCAAGAAAGAACAGAAGCGGTGGTGAAAATGTGGGGAAATGCATGTGCCAAGTGTAGAAAAGAATATAAGTAAAGACCTGAAAATAATTAGAATGTCTTAAAATCAAACTAAATAAAATTGTCTTAAAAATAATGATTTTAATTTTAGAAGCATAATTTCAGTTTATTAGAAAATGTCTGTGTATACAGTAGGCGTGGCAGATAGGGAGACAATTTTTGAGGCTTTTTTGGTATAACCAAGAGGATATTTTGAACTTAGCTTGTGACAGTAAAATGAAGAGAAAGAAACAACCTTTTAAGTTTTCACAAAGTTAGACTATAGGAATTGGTCTTTTTAAAATTTTATTTATTTATTTATTTATTTAGTTAGGCTGTGACAAAAAATGCAATGAAATATCTTCAGGTTTCTGGCTTGAGATATGGAATATACAAGTGGAGGATGATTTTAGAGAGGTTCTGGTGAGTAGAGTTTGGAATATTTGAAAAACAGTTGAGTAAAGCTTCTCAGTGTAGCAATTTGAGTCAATAGCATTTAGATGGTAGCCATTAGAATGCAGGGCATAGTTCAGATAGAAGTTATATGATGGAAAGGAAAAAGGAAAAACAAATCAAAACAAAACACTGAGTAATACTTACATTTTACAAAAAGGCAGGAAAATAGAAAGGCCATCAGTAGAGAATGAAAAATAGAGACTAAAATGTTGGACAATAGTGTTATAAATATCAATGGCAAAAATGTGTCTCAAACAAATAAAGGCTAACTTGCCCAACTACTGTTAAGACATGAAGAACAGTGATGAATGACAAATATATTTTGGATTAAACATTACTAAGATCAGCTTCTGTGGTACAATAAGGACAGCAGCCAGAATGAGATCAAGGTAAGTAATGCAGGAGGGAAAGTCAAGAAACCTCATAATAAGAAGCCATTGAGAAGTCAGGCTACATTTGGAAGGTGTGAAAATAAGTAATTCAAAATCTAAGCTGTTGAAACTGTAAAATATTTTTGAGTTTCAAGGGCATGTGATTATGAGAAGTGAGTCCCATGACAGCAGCTGTAATCTAGGTAGCTAAGAGCTTTGTTTCTCTAACTAGATTCACCTTCTTCCTTACTTATATTGTTTTGTAAAATGTTGTAAATAACTAAAGGGCACCAAGGAAGACCCCTTTTCTCTTCACTGTTGACCTTCGTTGTAGATTAACTTTCCTCTTAACATTCTCATATGGTCGAAAATGGAATGTTAAGTACACTCTTTTAAGTTGGAAAGGAAATTAAAACAAACTGTCAACAAAAGAAAATCAGCTGTATGAAAAAGAAAACAAGCTGTAACTAATTAAATTATTGTAACTCATAAACAAGCCTTGTATAGAAAATATTACAATCCTACTAAGTTGTTTTGTTTTATGCCTATATAAGCAAGACCTTAACTTTTAACTTTGGAGTACTGACCCCATTTCTCTTGAGTTCATATTTATCAGATAGCTATTCACAGTTTTTCAGTTGAATAAACTTTTTAAAACTGGATTCTGATCCTTTCTGTTATTTCAGGTTGACAAGGATGACAAAGAAAGCTGGAAATGTAGATGGCTATAGTCAGAATAAAATGCCTCAATTGATCTTAGTAATCTCAAAAATAAAAGTTAAAATTGGAAATCATCATTCTCAGTAAACTATCGCAAGAACAAAAAACCAAACACCGCATATTCTCACTCATAGGTGGGAATTGAACAATGAGATCACATGGACACAGGAAGGGGAATATCACACTCTGGGGACTGTGGTGGGGTGGGGGGAGGGGGGAGGGATAGCATCGGGAGATATACCTAATGCTAGATGACGAGTTAGTGGGTGCAGAGCACCAGCATGGCACATGTATACATATGTAACTAACCTGCACAATGTGCACATGTACCCTAAAACTTAAAGTATAATAATAAAAAAAAAAAAAAGGAAAAAAAAAAGTCTTCTGGTATTCAAAAAAAAAAAAAAAAAAATTAAAATATATTTTAAAATTATACCATAGTGCAGAGTACATGTATTTTACAACATGAGTCACAAACACAAATATTTAAGGTTGCTGGTCAATTTACTTTAATATGGGAATTTTTGCTTTTTAAAGACAAGTTGGAGAGCCTGTAGGACCTAGCAGGGAAGTTGACTTCCTTGCCTGAGTAGTTAAGAAAAAGATAAAATGCAAACCTTCCGATTCAATTTTTCTCAGAAGAGATTCCTTACATTAAGTTATTGTCAGGCCTCTGAGCCCAAGCTAAGCCATCATATCCCCTGTGACCTGCACGTACACAACCAGAGGGCCAGTTCCTGCCTTAACTGATGACATTCCATCACAAAAGAAATGAAAATGGCCATTCCTGACTTAACTGATGACATTATCTTGTGAAATTCCTTCTCCTGGCTCATCCTGGCTCAAAAGCTCCCCTACTGAGTACCTTGTGACCCCCACTCCTGCCCACCAGAGAACCCCCGTTTGACTGTAATTTTCCTTTACCTACCCAAATCTTATAAAATGGCCCCACCCCTATCTCCTTTCACTGACTCTTTTTGGACTCAGCCCACCTGCACCCAGGTGAAATAAACAGCCTTGTTGCTCACACAAAGCCTGTTTGGTGGTCTCTTCACACAGACGCACATGAAATTTGGTGCCATGACTCAGATCAGGGAGTCTCCCTTGGGAGATCAATTCCCTGTCCTCCTGCTCTTTGCTCCCTGAAAAAGATCCACCTACAACCTCAGGTCCTCAGACCCACCAGCCCAAGGAACATCTCACCAATTTTAAATCAGGTAAGCGGTCTCTTCTTACTCTCTTCTCCAACCTCTCTCACTATCCCTCAACCACCTTCTCCTTTCAATCTTGGTGCCACCCTTCAATCTCTCCCTTCTCTTAATTTCAATTCCTTTCATTTTCTGGTAAAGACAAAGAAGACATGTTTTATCTGTGGACCCAAAACTCCGGCGCCGGTCACGGACTCAGGAAGGCAGCCTTCCCTTGGTGTTTAATCATTGCAAGGATGCCTCTCTGATTATTCACCCATGTTTCAGAGGTGTCTGACCATGCAAGGACACCTGCCTTGCTCCTTCACCCTTAGTGGCAAGTCCCGCTTTTCTAGAGGAGGGGCAAGAACCCCAACTCCTTCTCTCTGTGTCTCTACCCCTTCTCTGCTTTTCTAGGGGGCAAGAATCCCCCAATCCCTTATTTCCGCACCCCGACCCCTTATCTGTGCACCTCGATCCCTTATTTCTGGACGCCGACCCCTTATTTCTGCACCCGGATCCTTTATTTCTGCACCCCAACCTCTTATCTCTGGGCCCTGATCCCTTATTTCCACGCCCCAACCTCTTATCTCTGTGCTCCATCCCTTATTTCCATGCCCCGACATCTTATCTCTGCACCCTGATCCCTTATTTCCACGCCCCGACCCCTTTCCCGCTTTTCTAGAAAGTAAGAACCCCTCAAACCCTTCCCTCCATGTCTCTACTCTCTCTTTTCTCTAGGCTTGCCTCTTTCACTGTAGGCAAACTTCCACCCTCCATCCCTCCTTCTTCTCCCTTAGCCTGTGTTCTGAAGAACTTAAAACCTCTTCAACTCACACCTGACCTAAAACCTAAATGCCTTATCTTCTTCTGCAACACCGCTTGGCCCCAATACAAACTTGACAATGACTCTAAATGGCCAGAAAATGGCACTTTCAATTTTTCCATCCTACAAGATCTAAATAATTCTTGTCATAAAATAGGCAAACAGTCTGAGATGCCTGATGTCCAAGCATTCTTTTACACATTAGTCCCTCCCTAGTCTCTGTTCCCAGTGGAACTCGTCCCAAATCTTCCTTCTTTCCTTCCCGCCTGTCCCGTCAGTCCCAACCCCAAGTGTCACCGAGTCTTTCTAATCTTCCTTTTCTACAGACCCATCTGACCTCTCCCCTCCTCGCCAGGCCAAGCTAGGTCCCAATTCTTCCTCAGCCTCTGCTCCTCCACCCTATAATCCTTTTATCACCTCCCCTCCTCACACCCAGTCTGGCTTACAGTTTCGTTCCATGACTAGCCCTCCCCCACCTGCCCAGCAATTTCCTCTTAAAAAGGTGGCTAGAGCTAAAGGCATAGTCAAGGTTAATGCTCCTTTTTCTTTATCCCAAATCAGAGAGCGTTTAGGCTCTTTTTCATCAAATATGAAAAACCCAACCCAGTTCATGGCCCATTTGACAGCAACCCTGAGACACTTTACAGCCCTAGACCCTAAAAGGTCAAAAGGCCGTCTTATTCTCAATATACATTTTATTACCCAATCCGCTCCAGACTTTAAATAAAGCTCCAAAAATTAAATTCCTGCCCTCAAACCCCATAACAGGACTTAATTAACCTCGCCTTCAAGGTGTACAATAATAGAAAAAAGTTGCAATTCCTTGCCTCCACTGTCAGACAAACCCCAGCCAAATCTCCAGGACACAAGAACTTCCAAACGCCTGAACTGCAGCAGCCAGGCATTCCTCCAGAACCTCCTCCCCCAGGAGCTTGCTACAAGTGTCAGAAATCTGGCCACCAGGCCAAGGAATGCCCACAGCACGGGATTCCTCCTAAGCCACGTCCCATCTGTGCAGGACCCCACTGAAAATCAGACTGTTCAACTCACCTGGCAGCCACTCCCAGAGCCCCTGGAACTCTGGCCCAAGGCTCTCTGACTGACTCCTTCCCAGATCGTCTCAGCTTAGCAGCTGAAGACTGACACTGCCTGATTGCCTCGGAAGCCCCCTAGACAATCACGGATGCCGAGCTTTAAGTAACTCTCACAGTGGAAGGTAAGTCCGTCCCCTTCTTAATCAATACGGAGGCTACCCACTCCACATTACCTTCTTTTCAAGGGCCTGTTTCCCTTGCCTCCATAACTGTTGTAGGTATTGACAGCCAGGCTTCTAAACCTCTTAAAACTCCCCAATTCTGGTTCCAACTTAGACAACACTCTTTTAAGCACTCCTTTTTAGTTATCCCCACCTGCCCAGTTCCCTTATTAGGCCGAGACACTTTAACTATATTATCTGCTTCCCTGACTATTCCTGGGCTACAGCCACACCTCATTGCTGCCTTTTCCCCCAGTTCAAAACCTCCTTCACATCCTCCCCTTGTATCTCCCCACCTTAACCCACAAGTATAAGACACCTCTATTCCCTCCTTAGTGACCGATCATCCACCCCTTACCATCCCATTAAAATCTAATCACTCTTACCCTGCTCAATGCCAATATCCCATCCCACAGAACTCTTTAAAAGGATTAAAGTCTGTTATCACTTGCCTGTTCCAGCGTGGCCTTTTAAAGCCTATAAACTCCCCTAACAATTCCCCCATTTTACCTGTCCTAAAACCAGACAAGCCTTGCAGGTTAGTTCAGGATCTGAGACTTATCAACCAAATTGTTTTGCCTACCTGGCCTGTAGTGCCAAGCCCATATACTCTCCTATCCTCAATACCTCCCTCCACATTATTCATTTCACAACCCATTATTCTGTTCTGGATCTCAAACATGCTTTCTTTACTATCCCTTTGCACCCTTCATCCCAGCCTCTCTTCACTTTCACTTATACTGACCCTGACACCCATCAGGCTCAGCAAATTACCTGGGCTGTACAGCCACAAGGCTTCACAGATAGCCCCCATTACTTCAGTCAAGACCAAATTTCATCCTCATCTGTTACCTATCTCGGCATAATTCTCATAAAAACACACGTGCTCTCCCTGCTGATCGTGTCTGACTAATCTCCCAAACCTCAATCCCTTCTACAAAACAACAACTCTTTTCCTTCCTAGATATCTGGTTTTGCCATCCTAACAAAACCATTATAAAAACTCACAAAAGGAAACCTAGCTGGCCCCATAGATCCTAAATCCTTTCCTCACTCCTCTTTCCATTCCTTGAAGACAGCTTTAGAGACTACCCCGACCCTAACTCTCCCTGACTCATCCGAACCCTTTTCATTACACACAGCCGAAGTGCAGGGCTGTGTGTCAGAATTCTTACACAAGGACCAGGACTGCACTCTGCAGCCTTTTAACCAAAAAACTTGACCTTACTGTTTTGCCGAGCCCTCAAGTCTGCGTGTGGTGGCTGCCACTGCCCTAATATTTTTAGAGGCCCTTAAAATCACAAACTGTGCTCCACTCACTCTCTACAGTTCTCATAACTTCCAAAATCTATTTTCTTCCTCACACCTGACACATATACTTTCTGCTCCCTGGCTCCTTCAGCTGTACTCACTCTTTGTTGAGTTTCCCACAATTACCATTGTTCCTGGCCAAGACTTCAGTCCGGCCTCCCACATTATTCCTGATATCACACCTGACCCCCATGACTGTATCTATGTGATCCACCTGACATTCACTCCATTTCCCCATATTCTTTCATGTTCCTCACCCTGAACACACTTATTTTATTGATGGCAAGTTCCACCAGGCCTAATCGCCACTCACCAGGAAAGGCAGGCTATGCTATAGTATCTTCCACATCTATCATTGAGGCTACTGCTCTGCCCCACTCCACTACCTCTCAGCAAGCCGAACTCATTGCCTTAAGTCAAGCCCTCAATCTTGCCAAAGGACTAAACATCAATATTTATACTTACTCTAAATATGCCTTCCATGTCCTGCACCACCATGCAAGAAGTTTCCTCACTACACAAGGGTCCTCTATCATTAATTCTTCTTTAATAAAAACGCTTCTCAAAGCTGCTTTACTTCCAAAGGAAGCTGGAGTCATTCACTGCAAAGGCCATCAAAGGGCATCAGATCCCATTGCTCAGAAAAATGCTTATGCTGATAAGATAGCTAAAAAAGCAGCTAGCATTCCAACTTATATCCCTCACTTTCAGTTTTTCTCCTTCTCATCTGGCCACTCCCACCTACTCCCCCGCTGAAACTTCCACCTATCAATCTCTTCCCACACAAGGCAAATGGTTCTTAGATCAAGGAAAATAAATCCTTCTAGCCTCACAGGCCCATTCTATTCTGTCGTCATTTCATAATCTCTTCCATGTAAGTTACAAGCCACTAGCCAGTCTCTTAGAACCTCTCATTTCCTTTCCATCATGGAAATCTATCCTCAAGGAGATCACTTCTCAGTGTTCCATCTGCTGTTCTACCACCCCTCAGGGATTGTTCAGGCCTCCTCCCTTTCCCACACATCAAGCTCAGGGATTTGCCCCTGCCCAGGACTGGCAAATTGACTTTACTCACATGCCCTGAGTCAGAAAACTAAAATACCTCTTAGTCTAGATAGACACTTTCACTGGATAGGTAGAGGCCTTTCCTACAGAGTCTGAGAAGTCCACCGCAGTCATTTCTTCCCTTCTGTCAGACATAATTACTCAGTTTGGCCTTCCCACCTCTATGTAGTCTGATAGTGGACCAGCCTTTATTAATCAAATCAGCCAAGCAGTTGTTCAGGCTCTTGGTATTCAGTGAAACCTTTACATCCCTTACAGTCCTCAGTCTTCATGCAAAGTAGAACGGACTAAAGGTCTTTTAAAAACACACCTCACCAAGCTCAGCCACCAACTTAAAAAGGAATGGACAATACTTTTACCACTTTCCCTTCTCAGAATTTAGGCCTGTCCTCAGAATGCTACAAAGTACAGCGCATTTGAGCTCCTGTACAGATGCTCCTTTTTATTAGGCCCCAGTCTCATCCCAGACACCAGACCAACTTAGACTGTGCCCCAAAAAACTTATCATCCCTACTATTTTCTGTCCAGTCATACTCCTATCCACCGTTCTCAACTACTCATAAATGCCCTGCTCTTGTTTACACTGCAGATTAACACTGTTTCTCCAAGCTATCACAGCTGATATCTCCTGGTGCTATCCCCAAACCGCCACTCTTAACTCTTAAAGTAAATAAATAATGTGTGCTGGTAGGACTATGCTGAATCTCCTTAGGCACTCTCTAATTAGATGTCCTGGGTCCTCCCAATTCTTAGACCTTTAATACCTGTTTTTCTCCTTCTCTTATTCCGTTTAGTTTTTCAATTCATACAAAACCATATCCAGGCCATCACTAATAATTCTACACGAAAAATGTTTCTTCTAACAACCCCACAATATCACCCCTTACCACAGAATCTTCCTTCAGTTTAATCTCTTCCACTCTAGGTTCCCATGCCACCCCGAATCCCGCTTGAAGCAGCCCTGAGAAACATCGCCCATTATCTCTCCATACCATCCCCCAAAATTTTTGCCGTCCCAACACTTTACCACTATTTCATTTTATTTTTCTTATTAATATAAGAAGACAGGAATGCCAGGCCTCTGAGCCCAAGCTAAGCCATCATATCCCCTATGACCTGCACGTACACATCCAGATGGCTGGTTCCTGCCTTAACTGATGACATTCCACCACAAAAGAAATGAAAATGGCCTGTTCCTGACTTAACTGATTATCTTGTGAAATTCCTTCTCCTGGCTCATCCTGGCTCAAAAGCTCCCCTACTGAGGACCTTGTGACCCCCACTCCTGCCCTCCAGAGAACAACCCCCCTTTGACTGTAATTTTCCTTTACCTACCCAAATCTTATAAAATGGCCCCACCCCTACCTCCCTTCGCTGACTCTCTTTTCAGACTCAGCCCGCCTGCACCCAGGTGAAATAAACAGCCTTGCTGCTCACACAAAGCCTGTTTGGTGGTATCTTCACACGGACGCAAATGAAAGTTATCCAAAATGCAAATCTATTCATGCCACTATCCTGCTTTAAAACATTCACTAGATTTCTGTTTTCTAAATAACTATGTATCAAATTAGTAGCATTTTTATGTAAAGCACTTTCTGATTTGGGTCTTACTAATCAATTTCCTGTTCTATTTTTTGCACAATTGGCATTGTTAAAATCACACCATACTGAGCCTTGATTTAGTGACTTTGCACCTGCCCCTTACCTGAAGAAAAAAATTCTCTTCCATGTCCAAATGACAATCCCTGGACATTTTTGGGCTCAATTTATATATTACCCCCAAAAAGTCCTCGGTAAGATTACCTTAACCTTGCCTCTTAAAAGTTAAGCAGAAATAATCTATCTTTTATGCCCTGACTGAATCACTTTCATATATGTTGTGCATTTGAGGATGCATTACTATTACTTGTGAAATGTCTCCACCTTTACCCATAGCAAAGGGTAGTAACCCACCCTTTACTATGAAACTGTAAGCTCCTTTTTTTTTAACAAAGGTACTCATTGGCATATAGTTGTTTAACAAATGACATAATATGTTTTATTGAAGTTTAAAAGTTATTGTGATTTACCTCTTTTAGAGACAAATTAAAATTAACATAAGAGGCTTAATCATCTCTATTGAAAAGAGACTTCTCTCCTTTTATCTTCCAGCATTTACTTTAAAAAAATTATAAGTACTTTATCCTCTCTTTAAAATATGCACTTTTTTTTTTTTTTTTGAAAACTAGATAGCCCTTTTGTGATTCAGGAATGCCTTTCTTGAAGATTCAGGAACCATCCATTCAGTATGTAAACAAGGGAGATAGGGCCTCTAGGCATAGTCTCTGTGGAAAGATCAGAGTTTGACTTCAGTGCGCCCCTTCATCCAAGTTGCACAACTACCTCCTCATAAAGATATGAGAAGTTTCTTTTTCCTCTGGATAAAGCCAATTAGCTAGCACAAATGGTCACTTTAATTACCAGGTGAATCTAGAATAAATTATGTGTGACAAATGGTGCTGTCAAGTTCTCCACTTGAGAACTAGTTTTTGTTCACCTTAAGAATATGTATGGGCCGGGCAGGGCGGCTCACGCCTGTAATCCCAGCACTTTGGGAGGCCAAGGTGGGCGGATCACAAGGTCAGGAGATTGAGACCATTCTGGCTAACACGGTGAAATCCCGTCTCTACTAAAAATAGAAAAAATTATCGGGTCATGGCGGCGTGCGCCTGTAGTCCCAGCTGCTGGGGAGGCTGAGGCAGGAGAATGGCATGAACCTGGGAGGTGGAGCTTGCAGTGAGCCAAGATCATGCCACTGCACTTCAGCCTGGGGCAACAGAGCAAGACTCCATCTCAAAAAAAAAAAAAAAAAAAAGAGAATATGTATGATATTGTTGTAACTGCCTGGTCATATAAAAGAGTGAAAATTAAGAGAATTTCTTAGGAGATGGCTTGTGATGCACATTATATCCTGCTTTAATGCTTACTCAACAATAAAACTGTTTTCTTTCTCTACTAAATTTGTGGAAAGGTTTTTGGGGATGGGGAAAAATTATTTTTAATAACAGTTTCCCAACACTCTCAAGATGAATGATTCACGCTCATTATAAAATTAAAAGCAAACATAGACACCCACATTTAAAAAAAAACGCTAAAACTCATAACTCAGATTTAACTGATACTAGCATATTGATCATATCTGGTCAGTTAAATATACTATAGTTAATATACTCCAGTTAAGATATATTTTAAATATATTTTATGGTAAATATACTGTAGTTAATATACTCCAGTTAAAATATATTTTAAATATATTTTATGATAAATATACTATGGTTAATATACTCCAGTTCAAATATATTTTAAAATTATACCATAGTGGAAAATATGTATCTTTTACAACATGAATCACAAACACAAATACTTAAGACTGCCAGTCCATTTACTTTAATATGGAAATTCGTACTTTTTAAAGACAAGTTGGAGAGCCACTTAGGTGAATTTATGTGTGTAAATTGCGGCCCAACACAAACTCTTAAACTTCCTGAAAACATTACGATATTTATGCACAGACTTATTTATTTATTTTTTTAGCTCATCAGCTATCATTAGTGTTATTGTATTTTATGTGTGGCCCAAGACAATTCTTCTTTCAATATGGTGCAGATAAACCAAAAGATTGGACCCCCCTGTGTAAAATATAGTTTATATGTGTGATGGTTAATATTGAGTGTCAACTTGATTGGAATGAATCCAATCCAATTTGATTGGATTTCAAAGTTTTTTTCTGGATATGTCTGTGAGGGTGTTGCCCAAGGAGATTAACACTGGAGTCAGTAGACTGGGAGATGCAGACCCACCCTCAATCTGGGTGGACACCATCTGATCAGCTACCAGAGTTGCCAGAACAAAGCAGGTAAAAGAAGGGAAAAGAAGAACTTGCTGAGTCTTCCAGCCTTCATCTTTCTCCCATGCTGGATGCTTCCTGCCCTGGAACATCAGACTCCAAGTTCTTTAGCTTTTAAATTCTTGGACTTAACACTAGTGGTTTGCCAGGGGCTCTTGGGTTTTTGGATACAGACTGTAGGCAGCACTGTCGGCTTCCCTACTTTCGAGGCCTTGGGACTCAAAGTGACTCACTACTGGCTTCCTTGTTTAATAACTTTCAGATGGCCTATCATGGCAAGTTCATTATATTGGACCTTTCTATCTTGGAAAAGGCAGTGGTGTGTCATCATTGGAATAGGCAGTTACTCTGGGCATGGGTTTGCCTATCCTGCACACCATGTTTCTGACAAGACTACCATCCATGCATTCATGGAATGCCTTATCTGCTATCATGGTATTCCACACAGCATTGCCTCTAACCCAGGCACTCACTTTACAGCTAAAGAAGTGTGGCAGTGGGTTCATGCTCATGGAATTCACTGATCTTACCATGTTCCCCCATCATTCTGAAGCAGATGGATTGATAGAATAGTGGAATGGCCTTTTGAAGTCACAATTACAGTGCCCACCAGGTGGCAATATTTTGTAGGGATAGGGCAAAGTTCTCCAGGAATCTGTATATGCTCAGAATCGGCATCTAATATATGGTACTGTTTCTCCCATATCCAGGACTCATAGGCCCTGGAATGAAGGAGTGGAAGTTGAAGTGGCACCGCTCACCATCACCCCCAGTGACCCACTAGCAAAATTCTTGCTTCCTGTTCCAGTGACATTATGTTCTTCTGGCCTAGAGGTCTTAGTTCCTAAGGGAGGAATGCTGCCACCAGAAGACACAAAAATGGTTCCATTAAACTGGAAGTTAAGATTGCCACCTGGCCACTTGGGGCTCTTCCTACCTCTAAGACAATAGGCTAAGAAGGGAGTTACGGCATTTGCTGGGATGACTCACCTGGACTATCAAGAAGAAATCAGTCTACTACTCCACAATGGAGGTAAGGAAGAGTATGTCTGGAATATAGGAAATCCCTTAGGATGTCTCTTAGTATTACCATGCCCTGTAATTAAGGTCAATGGGAAACTACAACATCCCAATCCAGGCAGGACTACAAATGGCTCATACCCTTAAGAAATGAAGGTTTGGGTCACTCCACCAGGTGAAAAACCATGACCCACTGAGTCAGTTGCTGAAGGCAAAGGGAATACAGAATGGGTAGTAAAAGAAGGTAGTCATCAATGCTAGCTATGACCATGTGACCTGTTGCAGAAATGAGAACTGTAATTGTCAAGAATATTTCTTCCTTATTTTGTTAAGAATATGTTTGTGCATGTATACTCTTGCACTAAGAAAATATCTTCATTTTATTTCATTTCTTTTTCCTTTATTATGTGACATAAGATTTATTAACTTCACGTCAGCATTTAAGTATTGTTAACTTTATGTAATACCTCTTAGGTTAAAGAATAGTGTGCTTCCTGTTGTATGAGGGACAGCCGTATCATGTTAGGCATAATTATGAACTTATTACTGTCTTTATTTGAAGATTATGTATGATTTCAGGAGATGTGTATGGGTTCAAGTTGACGGGGTGGATCTGTGATGGTTAATATTGAGTGGCAACTTGATTGGATTGAGGATGCAAAGTATTGTTTTTGGATGTGTCTTTGAGGGTGTTGCCAAAGGAGATTAACATCGGAGTCAGTGGACTGGGAGAGACATACCCACCTTCGATCTGGGTGGGCACCATCTAATCAGCTGCCAGGACAGCCAGAATAGAACAGGCAGAAGAAGGTGGAAGAAGAACTTGCTGAGTCTTCCAGCCTTCATCTTTCTCCTGTGCTGGATGCTTCCTGCCCTGGAACATCAGATTCCAAATTCTTCAGCTTTTGGACTCTTGGACTTACACTAGTGGTTTTCTAGGGGCTCTCAGGCCTTTGGCCACAGACTGTAGGCTGCACTGTCTGCTTCCCTACTTTTGAGGTCTTGGGACTGGGACTGATCCACTACTGGCTTCCTTGCTCCTCAACTTGCAGATGGCCTATGGTGGGACTTTACCTTGTGATTGCATGAGTCAATTCTCTGTAATAAACTCTCTTTCATGTTTACCTATATCCTATTCGTTCTAGTCCTCTGGAGAATCCTGACTAATTCAGTATGTATATTAAAAATTATATATGAACTGTTCATTTATAACACATATATGTTTTCCTGTACTTTAGAGAGTAGAGAAAAAAATCTCTACCCTGTTTTGCCATCAATTCTATCACTTATGCCTGTTATACCTAAATAATTATTTAAAATGTCTCATCTTATGGTATTTTTTCTTGTTTCATAGTATTTGGCAGGAACTAACATCATTAATTTTACCTATAAATTATTACATCAAAGTGATTTCAAATTTTACATTTATTATTTATTTTTAACTGTATTTTTCAAAATAAAAATATTCTCCCTACTGTTTGTGTGTGTATTTTAAAACCGCATGCAGAGGTTAGGTCATTTAAATTTCATTAATTGTTTTATCTTAACTATAGCTGAAATATATATGCATGTATAGGTGTATGTGTGTATATATTTCATTTTACATATTACTATGGGAAAGTATAGTGCTAAGAGCTTAATGCTATACTATGTATTTACTATGCAAATATTAACAAAGCAAAAATCTTTTATTCTTTTGTTTTCAAGGTTTATTAAAAAACACAATCTAATTTGTTTGCTGCATACATATCTCAGGAACAAATTGTATAAGATTTTTAGAAAGATTAAGCAAAGAAATAAATAAATAAAATATAGTCATGTGCCACAAAATTATGTTTTGGTAAATAATAGACCACATATATATGACTATGGGCTCATGAAATTATAATGGAGCTCAAAAATTCTTGACACCTGGTGACATCACAGCTGTCTTAATGTTATTGCACAACACATTACTCACATGTTTGTAGTGATGCTGGTGTAAACAAACCTACTGCGCTGCCAGTCATATAAAAACATAGCACATACAATTATGTACAGCACATAATAATTGATAATAATCCTAAAACTATTGTGACACTGTTTTATTAACTTATTATACTATAGTTTTAATCATTATTTTAGAGAGTACTCAAGAGAATAGAGTACCACCAGCCCAGGAAAAGATCAAAATTTAAAATTTAAGGTACTGTTTCTACTGAATGCATATCATCTATGTACCATCAAAAGAAAAATTATAAGTCAAACTGTTGCAAGTTGGTGACTGTAAGCATATGTGTGTTCATGTGCATAAAAATATATGTATACAATACTTACGTGTACATAGACATGTATAATTTTTTTCTAATAATGACCAAAATCTGGGCTAGCAATTTTATCTCCTAGGTGTCATTTTAACCATTTGAAAATTGAGTAATTGAAAATTATCAAATATTTGTGTATATAATTATCTTTTTTCTTAATTTTTGCCATATGTATAAATATATAGGTGTGTATATAGTTTTTAATGAGGTAAATTTTACAGAGTGAAATGCAGGGATATTAAGTGAACAATTTGACAAGTTTTAACAGAGATTTACATTCTCAAACCTAACCCCCAAAAAGACAGAGATTATTTTCACTTTTTCAAAAAATTTCCTTTACCCCTCTGGTCCCTCTGCATTCCTCCTATAAGTAACAAATGTTATGTTTTTTCTCAACATAGTTATTAAATTTCATGTGAGTAAAATTTTTTGTGTCTGATTTCTTTTGCAGAGCATGTTTTAGAGATCCATCTATGTTGTTTGCAAAATTGTAATTGACTGATGGTTCCTTTCCTGCCCACTGCACAGACATAATTAATTCACTGAGATCATGACATTGCAATAAAAAAAGAGTTTAATTGACACAAGGCTGGTTATGAGGGAGACAGATTTACTCCTCAAATCAATCTCTCCTAAGGCTCTTAGGTTAGGGTCTTTAAAGGACAGTTTGGTGGGCATGGGGCTAGGGAATGGGGAATGTGGATTGGTTGAGGATAAAATTATAGGGGTGTAAAAAAACTGTCCTTATGTGCTGCCTCAGACTCTGTGTGGGGGCCACTGAAACAGCTGAATCAGTCCTAGGTCTGGTGGAGTCAGCCAGTGGTCAAAAAGGCAGAAGTCTGAAAAGACATCTCAAAAAGCCAGTATGAACAAGGACATCTTGGAGGTTAGCCTCAAGATGGAGTCAACTATGTCATATTTCTTTTACTGTCATAATTTTGTAGAGGCAGTTTCAAAATCAGTAGTACTTTCTTTATTATTGCTTAGTGGTATATTATTCTAAATTTAAAAAGTTTATTTACCCAATTTCCCATTAAAATTTTTAGATTTTGGAATTTATAAATAGGTGAATAAATAGTTTCTACAAACAGTTTTGAACAAGTATCTTTTGAATCTATGTTTCTGTTAGCCTTGGGTAAAATCCTACAAGAGGAATTCTTAGACCATTGATACTTATTTAACTTATAAGAAACTACTAAATTATTTTCCAAAGTGGTTGTACCATATTACACAACCACCAAAAATATCTGAAATTCACAGTTGTTCCATATGCTCACCAACATTTTATGTTGATAATCTCTTTAATCATAGTGATTCTAGAGACAGTAAAGTGGTATCACCTGGTTTAATTTGCATTTCTCTGATATTGAGCCCCTCTTCACATGCATTTAGTCATTGATATGCATGCTTTTGTGAAGTTCCTATTATAAATTTAGATAGTCAATAACTTAGATTTATATTTCTTGTGTCAGTTGTGTCAAATTTACTGGCATAAAGTTGTTTAAATATTTCCTTATTATTTTTAATATATGTGAAATCTGCAGTGATATCACTTCATTCATTCCTGAAATTCAAAATACATTTTCTCCTTTCTTTTGATTAATATTAAATCTTTAGCAATTTTATTAATCTTTTCAAAGAACTGACTTAGGCTACTTTAATTTTCTCTATTATTCATTTTCTATTTTATTGAGTTTATCTCTTATCTTTATCATTTACTTCTATATACACTGTTTGTGTCTCATTTGACCTTATTTTGTCATCTCCTTATGTTTGGTCTTTGACATGTGGTCAAAATTGTACAACATTTTTTAGTAAACTCCCTTTTATGAATATGTTCACAATGTATACCATCTATGTTAGGCTTGGACATTCTGACTTGTCCTAAACATCTCTCTTTTCAAACAACTGTTTATTTTACTTACTTTAGGATAGAAAATAAGTAAAATATGTAGAAACAAATCACTTATTTTAAATTTTTGTACTTTTTATAACAAACATTTAAAGCTGTAAACTTCTTTAAAGTTACTGTTTTGTTTGACTCCACAATTGTATTTGTTTGGATTCAAATATTTTCTAATTTACTCTTTGAACAATGTGTTAATCGATGTGTTGTTGAATTTTCATATATGTAGTAATTTTTTATATATCTTTCTCTATTGATTTCCAGTTTAATTCAGTTTTGGTCAGAGACCACATTCTGTAAGATTTCAATAATTTCAAAGTCATTGAAACTCATTTTATGGCCCAGAATATTTTACGTACATTTGTAAGTAGTGGCAAATCCATATGAGTCTGCAGCAACTCGATTCTTGCCTCCTCAAAGAAAATAATTCCTCTGAGGGACATAAGGCAGAGTAAGAGTCCAAGGCAACTTTTAGAGCATGAATGAAAGTTTGTTAAAAACTTTTACAGTAGGGACAAAAGGAAGTAACGTTCACTTTGAAGATGGCCAAGCAGGTGACTTGAGAGAACCAAGTGCACTGTTTGGCCTTTGACTTGGAATCAAAATTGTACAACGCTTTTTAATAAATTCCCTTTCATTAATATTTTCATAATGTAGATGATCTATCACATGCTTAAACATTCTAACTTGTCTTAAACATCCCTCTTTGCAAACAACTGTTTGTTTTACTTACTTTAGGACAGGAATTTACCAAGTAAGATCCTTTTCTGTATAAAGTCTCTTTTTGGTAACATTTCTTATCAAAAATACCTTTTTACCTTTATAACCTTTGAATTATACAAAAGTAATATTAGAATTAATTTAGAAAGTTATGGTTTGTTGCTATGTGAGTACTGTGAAGGGGAAGCAGATAAGGATAAGTTATCTACATACTGTAGAAATTATCCCCCATCAAGAGATTGCTCAGTTAGATTTTATTGCTAGGGCTTGTCTGAATATGGGTGAGCTATTTTTAAATCCCTGAGGTAGGACTCTCCAGTTTGAAGTCATTGGTTAAAGATTTAGGTAACTTTCTCAGGAGAAATAGGGCTATATTAGGGAAAGATGAATTCAGAGGTTGAATAATATTAAGCAGACACACATCTCAAAGGGTTATAGGGTATTTAGGCATTACCAGCGACTGGTAGAGAATGGTATTTGGTCCCCTAAGCAGTATAAAGGGGTGTGAATTTTTTTTTTTTTTTTTTTGGAGTTAGAAGGTGTCATTTGCCTCAATCACCAGACATGATTTGGAGGAAAGCTGCTTAGAGAAGGAGATTAGCACAGAGTAGGCAGCTCTTAAACTCAAAAGGGAAATTTATAATTTTACTTTCCACCTCCAGAGTTGCCCTTTGTATTGTCCTGTTAATGGCAATGTCTGATTTAGAAGCAAGCCAAAGCAGGAAGTCCCTTCAACTCAAGGCCATTAGGGGTTCTGATTCCATCCCAGGGTCCTTCAACCCTCAGGGCAGTTCCACTTCCAATGGCTGTGCTTGTAGCAGAAGGGGCAAGCTATGCAGGGCTTTTTGCCATTTATCCCATTGGGACAGTTTGGCCTCCAGTGGCCTGGCTTCCCCATACTAATAATGGCTGTTACCTGAAGGAGTGTTCTTAGGGCAACCTGGAGGGTGCTGGCAGTCTTGTAAACCAGCCAGTCATTGAGTCTGCCTCTCATCTCTATGCTTCTCTTTCTCCTTAGCCCTGTCCTCTTTGTCCTTATCTCAGTTAAATAACTGAGGAGGTTAATTTGAGAATTTCCTATATAGGGGCATTGGGTTCTGAGGCTGACTTTTGTAATTTTCTCCCAGTTCATTTTTAGGCCAAACCATATTACAAAGAAAATCTAGCTTTTTGTTTTAAAGTTTCAGGAAACTGAACTTTCCCAAGTTTTTGAGGATGCATCAAAGGGGTATGTCATGTGGTATGGAGATGCGATTGCTCATCTGTGAAGAGAGAACAGAGGAGAAATAAAAAGAAAAGAGAAGGTGTCCCCTCTTATTTCCCTGTTATTCTTTCCTCAACAGATGTCCCCTCAACAGGATGTCCCCATTCACCCTTAGGGTTCTGGAATGAACCAATCTCACTAGGTACCCTTAAGTTTGGTCCTATCTCATCAAGATTACCTACTAGAAAAAAGAGGAGATAGTGGAGTAAACAGGGCCCCCCCTATTCATCCTGGGGGTTTGAGAATGAACCAGTCCTACCAGGTACCCCTAACCTTGCCTGCATCTCTGTTCTGATGGTAATCTGTTCTGTGCCTGTAGCCTAGGACCAGCCTTCATCTCTGTCCAATGCATACTTTTGTCTCTTGTCCTGTGGCTTTGGGCCGGCTTATATCCTTGTCTCCAGGACCTTATAGTGACTCTCACTTGGAGCATTCTAGCAACAAAATAATTATCTCTTTTCTCAGATTACCGCTTCCCATGTTCTCTAAGTAGATGAAAAGCCTGTTTTTCAGCTAACTGCCGCAAGGAGCTGGACTTCTCTACCTTCGAATATGACCTTGAAGGTCTTGATGCATAATGAGAAAGGCTTGGAAGTGATTCTGGAAAAGGAAAAATTTCTATTTTGGCTTCCTCTTCCTCCTGGGGTAACATGCAGAACAAATGCTTAAACAGACAGGAAAATCTCCCTGCTGTAGAAGGAAGTAGGAGGAAGTGAGAGGAATACTTGGAAAGCCTTCATATACTCTCAAAAAATGGAAGCCCTTTTATTTGAAAGGGCAATGTTTATTTGCCCTCTTGACATAAAGGAGGAACCTCTGGAACACTTGGGGCCTGGGATAAGGGCTCACAAATAGCAAAGGAAGAATTTTTCTTCCTCACGAGGGGGTGCTAACTCAAAAAAAGCAAGTTGGTTGAGTGCTTAAAGGGCCACAGAATGAGGTCTCATGCAGACAAACAAAATACTTCAAAACCCACCAGAAAATTCAACCCTGGAGCGTAACAGGGATGAAAAGCTTATTTTAAGTCATAAGGAGCTGGCAGAATCGGGCTTCTGATTAGTGTCTGTCCTGGTAATGAGCCAACAGACATCTGCAAGGGAGACCATTTCTTTGCTGCCATGCAAAGCAGCAAGTGCCACAGGTGCACGAATAACAAACAGTGAGTGTGTATTTAAGGCAGAGAAGGAAGTAACCTGGTATGCAAAGTGAAAGCAGATAAAAGGCACACTTGCCCACGAGGTAGTGTCCAGCCAGTGTGCAAGCCCATTTCGGGTTACATACAGAATAAAACAGGAGGGTAGGCAGTGCAGGTTTTGGGGAAAGAGCCAAATGCAGTTGAAAAAGCAGACGAAAACCCAGACACTGCCTGGTCTTAGGCTTTAGCCCTGTCACTGTCTTGAGCGTCCTGTCCAGGAGGCCATTAGTGTCTCAGGTCCACTTGCTGCAGATGCCCAAGTCCTTTCCACCCCGTGAGCTGAGAGATCTGCCAGGGGAAGTAGAGCCACTGTGGCCATGAGGAATCATTCTGGGGGTTGGTTAGTAAGCAGGAGAGTGAAGGGTGAGAAGCAAACCGTTTACGGAGGTTGATCACCTCCAGGCAAAGAAGGCAAGGCATAGAGGTATCTTAACACTGGGAAATGTATCCAAGTCACATGCCACTGAAGTATATTAGCAGTGGCAAATCTATACAGGTCTGCAGCAACTTCATTCTTGCCTCCTCAAAGATAAGAATTCCTCCAAGGGGCATAAGGCAGAGTGAGAGACCAAGAAAGTTTTAGAGCAGGAATAATCGCTTATTAAAATGTTTTAGAACAGAAACAAAAGGAAGTAAAGTACACTTGGAAGAGGGCTAAACAGGTGACTTGAGGGATCCAAATGTACTGCCGGCCTTCAACTTGGGGTTTTATACATTGGCATGGTTCTCTCTTCCCTTAATTTTACCTTGGGGCAGGCTGTTCTCATGTGCAGTAGTGCATAAGCAGTGTGTTTACTGAAGTTGTGTGCATGCTTATTAGAGGCATTTTTTTCACTTACCAGTCAAGTGTTCCTAGAGGAAGATAATTTACCAGTTAAACTGCCATTTTGCCTCTCAGTCCACATGCTTGAGCCCAGTCACCCAACTCCTGTGATCTCTTTAGGAACCGGCTGATCACCAGCTTCAGGTGTTTTCTGTCTGCTGGGAATGTGCCTTTTCCTGGCACCAGCTGTGTCTATTTATTAGTTTAGAGAGACAGTTTAACAATTTCCTGACCATCACCTGATGGTCGTCTGATATTCCTTGGCGGGGGCACTCTCCTGCCTTGCTCATGTCTGCCTGGCTACCTCCTCTCACACACTGAGAAGAAATTCCTGTTGGATCTTCCTGGTTCTGTCAAACTTCATTTTATTCCTGGTTAGGGAAGGCCTATTTTGCTTTATATATCGGACTTAGATTGTGGTAATTGCTCTAGGTGCTTTATTTACTCCAAAGGCTTGTCCTTTCTGGGATCAAACCAAGGACTCAATGAGGTTTCTTCACTCTGGATAGATCATAAATCTAATGTTTCCCCATACTACACAGCCTTTCCTAGCCCCATTCATCTTTTAGCTTTGTAGCAGGTAATCTTGTAAAGTGTGAGCATAAGTTGCCAAGACCTTCGTTAATTATCTGTGATGAATCTTCTTTCAGACCCTCTTCTCCCACACAATTCTTCCTTTTCAGAACAACTGTCCTTAAATTCTTGTCAGTTTTACAGTCCAGTATTTGTGTTATCTGCTCAGTGAAACCACAGTTCTGCTTGTATTTCATCTTCATGAACATTGGCACAAAAATGTCTCCAGGTAGAAACCTCTTGATATCATGGCACTGCCCTCATGTGTTTCTCTTCTTTCTAGGATTATAAGCACGAGTGGTCTGTTGGTCAGTGCCTAAAAACTGTTGCCTGATATATTTTGTCCAATTTTATCATAGTTTTTGATGAAAGGATAAATCTGGTTTCAGTTATTCTATTATAGCTGGAAGTAAAAATCCAACTACGGCCAGGTGCCGTGTCTCATGCCTGTAATACCAGCACTTTGGGAGGCCTAGGTGGGCAGATCACCAGATGTCAGGGGTTCAAGACCAGCCTGGCCAATATGGTGAAACTCCATCTCTACTAAAAACATAAAAATTAGCTGGGCATGGTGGTGCACACCTGTAATCCCAGCTACTCAGGAGGCTGAGGCAGAAGAATCACTTGAACTCGGGAGGTGGAGGTTGCCGTGAGCCAAGATCTCACCATTACACTCCAGCCAGGGTGAAAGAGCAAGACTCTTAAAAAAAAAAAAAAAAAATCCAACTACACCTTTGGAATATAGTTGAGGAAACACAGAATAATCAAATTTACATCTCTTTTATCATAGGATTTGAAGTTATATAACAGTAAAGCTATGTGTGGCCCTTTAGTAGGAAGGAGGTAGCTATGATTATGCACAGTCATGTAATACTTATGAGTAAAATTTCCCCACAATTTCTCCTATCTCTAAAACACAGATCCTAATACAAATGTTTCAAATCTGTTACTAGTTTTTAATAAAGTAACATTTGTAAGGTATCTGTCATATTGGAAGTACATAGATTTTAATATTTTCTCTAATTAAAAACGTATATAAATATAAATTATTACAAATGCTGAAAAGATTAGTTGCACAGATGTCTCTGTTTTCCCTCAGGTTTATTATTTTTGTTTAATTTCACCAAAAATAATCTGTCGATTATGACCATAAGAAATTAAAATTGATGAAACTGCCCAGATTCCTCATCACAGTGGTCATGTGTCTCTGAGAGTATTTTCAAAACAGGATTATGTGTCAACTAATATAATCTCCCTTTTCATTTTTTAAAATATCTCTAATTCAATATTACACATTTATTAGTCCTTGAAAACCAAGTAATTCTACTTGCCTCATTTTTTTTTCTTGCTTCACATACATTTCAAAGTTTTCCTTGTTCCACTCAGTCATCAATGCTGCTCTGCAAATTTCATTCTCAGCCCAACACTTTGGAAATTGTGAACAGCTCCTTGGTGTGTTTTTTTATATAACAAAGAGCATAATCTGCATCCATGCCCTTTTTTCAAAACATTTAATCCTAGAAATCTTTGCTTTTTTTGACTTCCTTCCCTTTATTCTCCTTCCCTGTAATCCTTTCAAATAAATCCTTTCAGTGTTCTTTTCATTTTATAATTCTATAAGCACATTATCTTGAGAGAACTTTAGTGTCCTTTAAAATAACTTTACTCACTTTTTAACTCTCATAATTTTCAAAGACGGAATCAAAGAGGGAGATAAACAAGAGTTTGCTTCACTTTGTATTTAGTAAGTGAGGTATGCTGCAGGTAATAACACTGCATGCCTGATTGGTAGTTTAGTTGTCAGAGGAAGACAGGGCTAAGGGGCACTTTATCAGAGCAGTTATAACACTCCAACAATGGGAATTATTTCATACCCTTTCAGCAAGAATTTCTATCAGCTCAGTAAAAGATACATTTAATAGAGAATCAAGAAAGAATGGCTGGTTAACTTTCTATTTAAATAAAAAGCCATGTGACTATAATTGCCAATTTTTTGGCCTTCTGGTTAGCGTCTGATGTTCACTGTTGGCCTAACTCATAAAAAATAGAGGGATTCTTGACCTTCTACATCCACATTTGTTGGGCATCCTGTATGAATTATGGTCATTCTATACCCTGTTTGTCAGAAGTAGTCCTAACCTAGAGCCTCCTGATGCAATTCCAGTTTTGGATACTAGGGTTTTTTGTTTGTTATTGTAGGTTTTGTTTTTTTGTTTTGTTTTGTTTTTTGAAAGAACCAACCTGAGAGGAAAAAAAAAATCTTAATATAGAGAATAGTAGTCTCAATTTATAGTTTTTCTTTATATTACTTAATAAATAAATGTACTCAAAATGTATTAAATGTGTTTAAGAATTGTTTTATTATTCTAGTAGATAGGAAACCAGAACTAACTGCCCACAGAGATGGTATAAAATTAATGCGATGAAAACATATTATTAACTTCTGACCAAATACCTTTGCTTGGAGAAGGCTATGCAACTAAGGCCTACCTCTCTTTTATAAAAAGGGAGATTAGCGAAAACTGAGGGTTGTTAAATAGAGCTTAGTGACAACGTGAGAATTTTCTCATGATGCAATCAGGAAGATTGAAGCCAAATTGAAAAAAAAATCATTTTCTCCCCATGTAATCCAAGGTAATTTAAAGTTGTGTCTTTAATACTTAAAATCATCTCTATACCAATAGTAGTACATGTCATGCATATTTTGGAGACTGCCAGAAGAAAAACCCTCTTAATCTTAGCATATAGATTTATCATAGCTGTTTTAAACTCCCCTGCAGTTTTCATCTTTTCTAATCATTGAACACAAAGCATTATTCACTTAATATAGAGGGCTAATAAAAATGTCAGTGTCCTTTGAAATATTTACTAATTAATGGCCACTATCAGTCATTTTTTTTCTTGTAGTTATGGTTTCTATCATGGTAAATAACTATATTTAGTTTTAAGAGTTCTAAAAATTTAATCATGCTTAATCAGCATGACAGGTCTGAACAAATTGCAATCTTGTCCAGAACTAAAGCAAATATCTAACTAGGGAGAAGAGCAAATGTTTTAAAGTCAAGTTTTTAAAAGAGACGCTAGTCCTCAGTCATATAGCTCACATTCATTTTCTTTAACTTAGTAAAGAATCCCTTAGTAAATCTGTAGCTTCCTGAAGGCAATATGATTGCCCTGAAGATTTATATTATGCTATGAAAGTCATATTTATACTCATACTCAGACACACCCACATCCTCACCCACACATACACAAACACACAAATAGAGCCCTGGGCAGAGTCCAAACTACATCAGAAGGGAAACAGGAGACTGAAAACAGAAAGTAGGCACAAAGTGACAAGAAAAGATGCTTCACAGCATAAGAACTTAAAAAAAAAAAATCTCTGAAGTCGCAATTCCAATACAGCCCACAGAAACCCTCTTTCCTTGCAATATTGTTTATTACAACACACATTTTTCTTTCAGGTCCACTGCAATAGACAGGACCTCCAGCATACTCAGAAACATCTCAATTTCTGAAAACAGGCTCGGGCTCAAATTCAGACTTGCTTATAGCAGAAACTCGCAATATGATTTGAAAAGTATTCTGAAAAAGTCCTTTACCCACAATAATTATTGATCATTTCTTATGCATCTATACACAGATTTTTGCAAGATATTTCAATCTGGAAGGCAACTCCTTACATTTATCTACTTAGAAAACTCCTACTTAGCTTTAACGCCGGTCCAACTATTTCCCTTATAATAATCTTTAGGCTTAAACTTGTTTTGCTTGTGCTCACACATCCCTACTCTTTAGGCTTTATTACTTTTATGTATTTTACTTCATTGCCTCCCTCACTAATCTAGATTTTGAATCAGCTCCTGATAGTTTCAAGTATCAGCTTGGCTTTTTAATTAGTTTAGAGACTTAAGGAAGGCTCAAAAATTTTTTAAACATCTTTTAAAATTGTAATACCTTATATTAAAATTAAATTAAAATAAACAAAATAAAATAAAAATATTATCTGTATTTTTCTGATGTTTAAATAAATTTATATATTATATATATATGTGTGTGTATATATATATATATAGAGAGAGAGAGAATATATATACACAAAATGTCCAGCGCATATTTGAGACTCAAAACATGATGGTGAGTAGTGTTGTTATTTTTTTAACTTTACTATAGAAAAAAGTTAAAATCTTATCCTTAAAAGCTATAAAAGAAGTGTGTATTATGCATTTATGTATATAACATAGGTTATATATCTTGCTATGCTTTAAATATTCATGTCCCTCCAAAATTTATATGTTGAAACCTACACACCAAGGTGATGGCATTAGAAAGTGGGACTTTTGGGAGATGATTAGGTCACGAGGGCTCTTCCTTCATGAATAAGATGAATATACTTATCAAAGGGGCTGCAAAGACATGCATGGCCCATCCAAGTATGTAAATGGCTTGCAGACCCATGGTTTGACCATATACTTACTAGGTATGTTTGATAATTTCCATTTCCTTAGCATGTCCTTCTTTAAATTACATTCATAGATCCATTTATATGGATTTCTTCATTAATTTACTTTAGTAGCTTACAATATGACTGTAATTTTGCATCTTTAATTATTATAATTAAGTTCTGGAGCTATGATTATCTAGATTAGCATCAGTCTCACTCTTTTCTCTCAGTATCTTTCTTCCTTCATCCTTAACCAAGAGTATCTGGGGCTTATTCAGTCCAAAAGAGTTTAGACCTGCTTCCAAACACCAGACATATAAATAAAAATAGAAAATGAATTTATCCACAGTATTAAACTTTTTTCCTGGAAAGAAGTATATATTGACAAAAATATAATCAGATTATTAAAGCAAGAAGACAAGGGATAAAAATATTCAACACTAAGTGTTTTTTGACTTCCAAAATAAATAAAATTGGAACACAATTCCCTTCCTTTTTTCTATATCACTTCCTTTGTTACAAACTGATATTTGCTTGCTTGTACAAACCAGAGGAGTTGTGTATGTTACTGCAAACCAAATAGCTGTGCTGATGTTAGGTAACATTTAGTCTCCATCTTTCAGAGAAAGATATGGGAATGTCACCCATATAGAAATAAGTACATTTATAGATAAACATAAGCATATAAAACATTTTATTTCCATACCTGAACACAATGCCTGGAATGTTTTAAGTGCTAATTAAGCTATAGAAATATTTTTTAATTTATTCTATATCTATCTCCTTGTATTTTTATAGATAATAGGTTCAATCAATTTTAGTCGTATTCTCAACTCAAATTTATAAAACATATACTTCTTTCCAGAAACTGTGCTAAGTTCTTTACATATATTTTCTCCTGTTGTCTGTATATCAATTCTATGAAGTGAATATTATCTCCAATTAACAGGAAACTGAATCTTAAAAGGTATACCTGAATTGCTCATAATACCTAATGGAACCAGGATTTGAATTAATTTCTCTCTAAATCTGGAAGCAAGATGATTAGCCAGCATGCTAATAATACTAACTCTCTGCTAATTAAAATGCAAGTAATCCTGGATGAATAACATGATAAATCCTATAACATTAATGTAAATGTGTTTCTTAGATAACTTTCCTCCAACGTAACAAATTGTACGTTAGAAGGACATGATATGAAGGCAAAGGATGAATTTAAATATTAGAACAAGTGATAAAGGGGAGGAAGTGTGCTACACTCAGCCAATCTTATCTTTATTTTCTACTTTATTATTCTGCTTTGCCTAAGATATTAATATGCAATCAGTTTGAAAATTAACATATTTAGAAAAGAAGTATTTTTATAGTTTTATTGTATGACACACATGTGACACATAAACACAGATACAAGAATGTGTCAAGCTTACATGCAGACATAGTATAGATGAATTTAAGTGGTATAGATTACTAATCTGTTGCTTTCTTTTTAACAATTCTGGATTATATAATATAAGAAAATTAAAAATTCTGATGGAATATTTTTCATCCAAATTATATAGGAAACGTTAAAATTGTATAACTCTACTATATTTGATTTCTACCACTTAATTTATCTATCTAGAGATCTATCTCTATTTAACTGGAAGCCCTCCACACCAGAGGACACCAAGGATTATATATGCACTTTAACTTTTTAAAAATGGAATTTGAAAAATTACTCAAGGTTGTTTTTATTATGTAATACATGTTTGCAATAACAAACTAACAAGGGGAGATAAGAGCATAAGGGTAAATCCACTTAATATTTTAAACAAAAAAAATTAATCAGGTATAATTTTCATTAATAGAGTACATAGGTACTTAAACCATTTTAGAAGTAAAAAATTATTTATGCACATTGCTTACATTTTCATATATACACATTGTGATGGGTTTCTATCTATTTAACATTTCTCCCAGTATGAAACAACAACAGGAATAGGGGCCACTTCATAAATGTGCTTAATGCTTACAGATAATGATACTTCGGTAAACTTTAAAATTTAAATGTTATCTGGGAACATCTTGAAAATAGGGATCCTGCCATGTTCATCTTTGAATACTCAGTGCTTTGCAAAATGCTTGACTTATAATAGCTGGTGATGATATTCAGAATTAGTTTTCCCCCTAATATTTCTTAATATTGCAACTACATTTAGACATTCATTTAGACATTCATTTAAGAATTGTATATCTTGTTGTCACATTCAACAGTTACATGTATATAGTGTTCAACCTACACTTGTAATGATATAAATAATACATTTTAATCTCAGAATTGACTATGAGCACTTTGATATGCAGCACTATGAGCACTTTGACTATCTAACCTTTGATATGCAGTTTATATAGATCCTGATATTTCCCTCTTACATTGTTATCAATCTATTTATGATATAAAAATTTTCATGGCATTGTATCAAAATATTGTTACTACTCCTTAGACACTATTAGTCACAACTTCTAACTCAGTCTGTCTGAGTTTATCAATATAAATCTTGTAAAGTAGAATCTCTGGACGAACTCAGCATATTGTGCAAGTGCACTTCTGGACCAGTGACCAGACTCTGAATTAATTATGTTTGGTTACGATGTTTACCCTTGATCCAAAAAGGTCTGATTAAGTGGATGATGGCGTCACATGGTGAAATAAATGACTGAATAAGGACAAGAATGTGTTGATTAATTTGTCAGCCAAGCAGACATGGAGGCGGCATTAATATAACCATTTCCTGCTTCTTAAAAAGCTTTTCTGTTCTTTATGTTTATTTTGTGAGACTAGGTCTCCCTCTCTTGCCCAGGCTGGAGTATAGTGGTGTGATCATTGCTCACTGTAACCTCAAACTCCTGGGCTCAAGCAACCCTCTTGCCTCAACCTCCTGCAAGCTAGGACTACAGGCGTGCTCTGCTACAATAGCTAATTTTTCTTCTTCTTTAAAAAATTATAACATTTTGACTTTTTTTTTTTTAATACGGAGTCTGCTTCTGTCACCCAGGCTGGAGTGCTGTGGCGTGATCTCAGCTCACGGCAACCTCCGCCTCCCAGGTTCAAATGATTCTCATGCCTCAGCCTCCCGAGTAGCTGGGATTACAGGAGCGTGACACTGCATCTCGCTAATTTTTGTACTTTTAGTGGAGATGGGGTTTCACCGTGTTGGCCAGGCTGGTCTCGAACTTCTAACGTCAGGTGATCCACCCACCTCAGGCTCCCAAAGTGCTGGAATTACAGGTGTGAGCCACTGCGCCCAGCCTGTTTTATTCTCTGAAGATTTTACTTCAAATTTCTCTGTTGATAGGCACCTTAAGGTTTTGTCCTTGGATGTACATTATTTTTCTTTGGTTTTTCTCAAGACATAATAATTCTTATGAATTC
This sequence comes from Homo sapiens, assembly GCF_000001405.40. NCBI lineage: Eukaryota > Metazoa > Chordata > Mammalia > Primates > Hominidae > Homo > Homo sapiens. The sequence continues at coordinate 163,934,060 of NC_000003.12, forward strand.
ATTTATCACATATTTTATGTGTAGTTCTTGAGTCTGTAATTTTGGCTTCAACCATGCTCTGAAATGTTAAATCTGCTTTTCCAACCACCTACTTGCTTTATGTGCTTGAATGTCCACTATATTTATGTATATTTGTTCAAAAACAAACATATTATACTTAATAGCCACTAAATTAATGTCGTCTTCTGAAACTGGTATTTTCATTCCTGGGATGACAATTCTCTTAATTGCCAAGATTTGTCCTTGGATTACCCTTTCATTCTCTTGTTCTTTATCCCCTACATTTAGTTAGTTGCTGAGTACTATGTAGTCTGCCTCCACATTATTTCCTGTATCACATTTTATGTATTTTCGTATTCAGTAGTGGTTTATGCCTGTATTATTACTCTTAGCTGGACTAAAATATTCAACAATTTTCCACTCTACACTACGTATTACTCTCAGATTAATCCTCCCACGAGAATTTTAGTTATATCGGTCTCAATTTCAGTCAAGACTCAGGACAAATAAATGGCACTGTCAAAGTTGTGAATTTTAAGGGAGTTTCATACTAAGATTTAAAAAAGTGTTGGTCAAGTGAAGAAAAAACACAAGGAATAATACTATACCCAGGGTTTTACATCTCACTGTTTTTTCCATTGTTATAGCTGAAGGAGATAAAAAAGAAAGTGATTATTAGAATCTAATGACACAAAAGGCTGTGTGCAAAGGCCACCTGTCATGAGGGAGGTAGCAAGCCCAACAAGAAGGGAATCTAGGTATGTAAACCACTTTACTCTCCTTCCATCCCCTAGATGGCCTGCAACAGCTTCTGACTAGGCAAACCCAACAGGACGGCCAAAGCCAGATGGTTCCATGAATGTGGTATAGATAGGTGGGCTTCCTAGGGTAAGCAGTGGAAGGTGTATCTGAAGGGGAAAGTAGAGAACAGTGCAGCCACCTTAAACATTCACTAACGTGCTGTTGCCTTCTAAAACAAGCAGAATGCATTTAAAACTTTTCATTGAGTGACCTATATCTTTACCATTAAGTTTACTGGCCAAGTTGACCTACAGAATCAGTCCTTGCATTTTCATTTTCATTACATTATCTGACTTGTTCTTTGTTGAAATACATTCTTTCTTCCCTTGTCAAATCTCCTATCACCTGAAAAAATATATATACTTTAATCCTTGCATCACCATTTCTCATCTACATTTATTTTCCACTATATATATATAGAAGGCATAATTTTAATTTTTATCAATCCAACTTCTGTCTAACTGCACACTTACTTTTTTTCCTTTTTGCACTTTGTGGTTTGCAGAATTCTTAATTTCCCAAAAGACTCCACCTGACCCCAATGTACATGCCCTGTATAATCGCCTTACCCTTAACTGTAAGCAAGACCAGTGAATATGATGGAATATAATTCCTAGGATGACACTATTTGACATGGCAAAGAGATTTTTCAGATATAGTCAGTTAACTTTGATGTAATCAAAATGGAGGAGCTAAGTGGACATAACCTAATTAGATGTACCCTTAAAAGATACTGGACACTTTCTTAGAGAGGAGATGTAAATCATGATAGATTATCCCGGCAGCTGGAAGGAGCAGAATGCCATGTTACGGAGAAGACTACATGCAGGAACTGGTGGACAGTTTATAGAAGGTTTATTGCTCCCTGTTGATAACCAGCAAGAAAGAAAGGACCTCTGTCTCATAATTAGAAAGAATTAAGTTCTGCCAATAATTAGTGAGCTTGGAATAGGACACTGAGCCCACTGTGGTGGCAGCCTTGGCCAGCATGTGGCTTTCGGGCTGATGAGACCCCAAGCCAAAGATCCAGCTAACCCATACCCAGAATCTGACCATGGACACCATGAAATAATACATTTTTGTTGATTTAAGCTACTGAGTTTGTGGTAATATGTTACACAGCAATGCAATGCAAAACTAATATATACTTCAAGCATGTAAGTATCTAACTCAACTTTCTAAACTTAAAAGTTACTTGAAGGCTATGATTATCTTCTACTTCTAGAAGATAGAATACCCTCTCAAATTATAATCAAAACCATGCTCTTATAACAAGTCAGTTACAGAGTGTAGGTGAAAATTCATGCCTTATGACTTACCACACAGAGTAGCCTTTCCACCTCCATTCTCTAATTGTTCTCCTGATGAAAACAATTAGTCTAAATAGACAGATGGAGACCCATGAGTTACCTAGGTGTGTTCAAAATATTAGGCAATGGAGATAATCTAGAATAGATAACAGCAACCTATTTTCAAGATGCCAAAGGGTAGTGTGGATTAAAAAAATTAATAATATTATACATACACAGGAGCATCAGTTTGGCTTTGTTTTTGTTAAACATAAATATTAGTTTTGCTGCTGAAAATAATTTTTTTACTAAGCAAAAAGATAGCTCAAGCTTATAAATGATAAAAATATTAAAAAGCAGTTTTTCATTCAGAACCCTCAAAAAAGAATGATGTTAGATTTGATAGTATTGAATGGTCAAGATAAGATGCCTCAAAAAAACATTGAATCAAGAGGAGACTTGATGGGAAAGGAAGGAGGTAGCACTTCAGAAGATGAATGATTTTAAAGACAGCATTTTCTTCCTATAAATGGAGTTAGAAAACAGAAGGCAGATGCTGTCTGATTATCTCAGATTCAGCTAAAGTGGGATGTCATTTGTTATTCCAATTTACAGAAACTGCACAAAACAGTCATAACCAGAGCACATTCTCTTTCCCTGCAACACGTTAATCATCATTACATCTTTTTTCTGATCACTCCAGGAAGAAAAGTTGCAGATGTTCAGGGAATGGGTCACACATAAAAAAGAGAACAATTCTTGAGATTAGTGATCTTTCCTGCAGATGAAGTGAACAGAAATGAAATTTTATAATTTCGAAAATCACATTTGAAGTTGTATCTATTTTCATGTTAATCACATTTTAATAAGACAAATAAATATGAGGGAAAGAATTTTGTCCTTTGTTTTCTACTTTTTCTCAGGGTACTTAAATTTTGAGACAAATACAATGAGACAAGTTTGCTTTTGTTCTAGTATTGTTTTTGAACTCTTTAATAGAGGATTATATTAAGTTTGTACTTTAATTCACTGTGGTATTTTAGGAAATCATTTTTATAACTCACTATGATTCTGAAACCCAAGTTTCCAGTTGACTTGAGAATAGGTTTGAAAATTAGTATATTAATTCATTTACTTTGCTTTTATATGTTATCTCTTCTCTGTTGATGCTCGCTATTAAAATTGAGATTTATAAAAACACAAAGGATAGATTTATAATGGGTGGGGCAGACACTGCATTCAGAACTGAATTCTGAAATAATGTGGCACAGAAAGATAGGGAACCTGAAATGTTGGTGTATTTATTAGTCTGTTCTCATGCTGCTAATAAACGCATACCTGAGACTGGGTAATTTATAAAGGAAAGAGGTTTAATTGACTCAGTTCAACATGGTTGGGGAAGTCTCAGGAAACTTACAATCATAGCAGAAGCGGAAGGAAACACATCCTTCTTCACATGGTAGCAGGAAGGAGAATGAGTGCTGAGAAAAGGGGGAAAAGCCCTTCATAAAGCCATCAGATCTCGTGAGAACACACTCTCTATCATGAAAACAGCAGCATGGGGGTAACTGCCCCATGATTCAATTACCTCCCTCTGGGTCCCTCTCATGACTTGTGGGGATTATGGGAACTAAAATAAAAGATGATATTTGGGTGGGGACACAGCCAAACCATATCAGTTGGTATTTTTATATTCAAAACGATTAAGGGAAATTAAAAAGGTCTTCATATTTTTAGGTAGAAAAATATCCCAGAAAGATAATTATCCTTTTATTGCACCCTAAATAACTTTATTTTATTTATTTATTTAAATAGAGATAGGGTCTTACTATGTTGCCAAGACTAGCCTCAAACTCCTGGCCTTAAGTGATCTTCCCACCTAGGCTTCCCAAAGTGCTGGGATTACAGGTGTGAGCTACCATGCCTGGCCCTTAAATAATTTTATGTTAAAAATTTTAAATCTCTTTGGGAATCTATTTCACTACAGTTCATATTTATTTGTTGGCCAGGTGCGGTGGCTCACACCTGTAATCCCAGAACTTTAGGAGGCTGAGATGGGCGGATCACGATGTCAGGAGTTTGAGATCAGCCTGACCAACATGGTGAAACCCCGTCTTTACTAAAAGTACAAAAATTAGCCTGGCATTATGGTGGGTGCCTGTAATGCCAGCTACTCAGGAGTCCAAGGCTGGAGAACTGCTTGAACCCGGGAGGGGGAAGTTGCAGTGAGCCGAGATTGCACCACTGCACTCCAGCCTGGGCGACAGAGCAAGACTCTGTCTCAAAATAAATAAATAAATAAAATAAAATTTGTTTTCTTTTCTATACTTGTCACAATATATTCACGCAAAATTTAATTTCTTAACAACCATTAAAAAAACCTCAGTCTTTAATAATATAAATTGATATAATTACTTAGTCTTCTTTACTGAAATAATATATGACAAACAAACAACAAAAATTGTCAGAGGTAACTTTGATGATAATTTGTTTTTAACAAATCTAGTAAGCATATTATATCTACAGCACTATGTAGGCACTATGGAACAAATGAACTTATTCCCTAGAATTCAAGGCCTAGAAGAGGAAATGCATATGTAATTTCACAGTTGTGCAAGGTAGCATAAAACAAATGCATAATTAGTTTTCAAAGAGGTAAAGAATGTGATAAGGGAGTAATTAACTGCAATGAAAGTTAAAAGTCTTTATAAAACATTGTATAAACACATTCCAATTAAAAACATAAACAGAGACTTAAATATATTCACATATATGGACATATTTTATTATTAACTATGCCTTTTGTCCCACAGAGAGAATGAATAATGAAGTGTCTGTTCTAGGCTGAAAGTAGCATATATAATTTTATGTATATATATAATTATATGTATATTTTATAATATATAATTATAATATACTATAATACATCTATGTATTATAGATGTATTATACATATAATAGACTACAATACATTGAATAACACAATTGAAGGTTTTATCTAAGATGTTTGCCTTTACCTCTATAATTAAATAGACATCTATTTTTATAAAACATAATTGAACTGTATAATAATGCTAACATGGTCAATATAATGAGTAAAATTTGAGTTGAATTAATCTGAATACAAAATAATTTCTTTTCTAAGAACAGAATTAAAGTAAGGTACTTACTTCAAGTGGTGATTACTATAACAAAAATAATCATTTGCACCAGAGTTCAAAAATGCATATGCACATAGAAATCAAACGCGATTCTTTAAGAAAAATTATATTACCTTTTAACATGAACGGAGTTTTACATACCTTAGCTTGATATATAACCAGTATTTTTTGTTAAGGATTTTCTACCAAAAAGTACTTTTATTTATTGCACAAATTACTGTTCTTGTGTATTCTTCTAGCGTTATGATTTTATATAATTTAAATGTCAGCAAACTGAAACCTTGATGTTTTACACCTTCACATGGCTATCTCAAACTGACATTTGACAAGTCTCATGTTCTATATAATAGAGTGACTTCCAAAACAAGTAATAATGTCTGATTTAAGTACGATTTCATGACTTAAAGGAAAGCTTTTTAACTCAGAAGTTTTTTTTTTGTTGTTTCTTTCTGTTTTTTACATTTTTCCAGTAATTTTCAAAGTCTAGAGGTTTTTCATTTGTCCACCCAGGTTTTTCCTCCATCCTTCTTCACCCGGTTAGTGTCCTACTTATATTGGGTCAGTAGAATCCTGCCCTATGGCTTCTTTCTTTCTTTCTTTTCTTTTTTTTTTTTTTTTTTTTTTTTAACTTTTTTCCTTTTCCTGAAACAGGGTGGAGTGCAGTGGTGCAATCACAGCCTACAGTAGCCTGGGCTCAAACGACCCATCACCACAGCCTCCTGAGTAACTGGGAATACAGGCACATGCCATCATGCCTGGCTAGTGCTTTATTTTTTGTAGAGATGGGATCTCACTATTTGCCCAGACTGGTTTCAAGTTCCAGGACTCAAGTGACCCTCTTGGCTTGATCTCCCAAAGTTCTTAAATTACAGGAGTGAGTCACCATGCCTGGCCCTGCCCCCTGGCTTCTAATTGTGGTCTAGCAGTGGCGATATTGGAATTAGGGAAGACGTTGTGTTCATCCTATTTATTTTCTTGCTCACTCACTCCCTGTGGCATCACTTTTGGCTGGTTGTGTTCCTCAACAAAGGCCACAACTCTGTCAAATGCCATACGAATTTTCTTCCTCTTGGTTTCCTGCTTCCTGCCTTTGATACCTGAATTGCTTGCTCTGATGTACTGCACTAGATTTTATGGTTTATCCTTAAACTTTCCTAAATAAAATTCTCTAAAAATAGCCACTTGAAATGTATAATCCTTTTCCTACTGAGACTCTGACTGATATAGTTAGTTCACGAAGTAAAAATAACTAAGCATCCCTTTGGGTTGGGAAGCTTACTAGATTGACAAAAATAAAGTAATTGCCTTTTTTTGGTCTCTTTTGTAATATTTATTTACGTTAAATCTTTAACCTTTTTTTCTGCTCTCCATTTTCTCTCCTGGGTTAAACAGCCACTCTTTTCCCTTTTTGCGTAGAGACATTTGAATTTTCCCGCTTTAGACTAATGGTAGGAAACGGAGGAAAGAAAAATGAAATTTTAAAGGGAAGAACAGTGGTAATAAGAGGTAGGTAGGGGAAAAGAAAGGAAAAGAAAAGAAAGGAAAAGAAAAGAAAAGGAAAAGGAAAGGAAAGGAAAAAGAAAAGAAAAAAAAGAAAAAAGAAAAGAAAGAAGAGGTAGAAATTCAAATTCATTTTCTTGCTGCATTTTACCTTGCCCAACCTCGGTCCATAATACTGAGAAAAAAAGAGGAAGGTAAGGAAAACATTAAAAATAAGGAAATTGTGTCCTTTCACTGTTGCACTTTTTTTTTAAAATCATACTTTAAGTCCTATGGTACATGTGCACAACGTGCAGGTTTGTTACATATGTATACATGTGCCATGTTGGTGTGCTGCATCCATTAACTCGTCGCTTACATTAGGCATATCTCTTAATGCTTTCCCTCCCCACTCCCCCCACCCCACGGCAGGCCCCGGTGTGTGATGTTCTCCTTCCTGTCTCCAAGTGTTCTCATTGTTCAATTCCCACCTATGTGTGAGAACACATGGTGTTTGGTTTTTTGTTCTTGCGATAGTTTGCTGAGAATGATGGTTTCCAGCTTCATCCATGTCCCTACAAAGGACATGAACTCATCCTTTTTTATGGCTGCATAGTATTCCATGGTGTATATGTGCCACATTTTCTTAATCCAGTCTATCATTGATGGACATTTGGGTTGGTTCCAAGTCTTTGCTATTGTGAATAGTGCCACAATAAACATACATGCGCATGTGCCTTTATAGCAGCATGATTTATAATCCTTTGGGTATATACCCAGTAATGGGATGGCTGGATCAAATGGTATTTCTAGTTCTAGATCCTTGAGGAATCGCCACACTGTCTTCCACAATGGCTGAACTAGTTTACAGTCCCACCAATAGTGTAAAAGTGTTCCTATTTCTCGACATCCTCTCCAGCACCTGTTTTTTCCTGACTTTTTAATGATTGCCATTCTATCAGGTGTGAGATGGTATCTCATTGTGGTTTTGACTTGTATTTCTCTGACGGCCAGTGATGATGGGCAATTTTTCATGTGTCTGTTGGCTGCATAAATGTCTTCTTTTGAGAAGTGTCTGTTCATATCCTTTGCCCACTTGTTGATGGGGTTGTTTGTTTTTTTCTTGTAAATTTGTTTGAGTTCTTTGTAGATTCTGGATATTAGCCCTTTGTCAGATGAGTAGATTGCAAAAATTTTCTCCCATTCTGTAGGCTTCCTGTTCACTCTGATGGTAGTTTCTTTTGCTGTGCAGAAGCTCCTTAGTTTAGTTAGATCTCATTTGTCAATTTTGGCTTTTGCTGCCATTGCTGTTGGTGTTTTAGACATGAAGTCCTTCGCCATCCCTATGTCCTGAATGGTATTGCCTAGGTTTTCTTCCAGGGTTTTTATAATTTTAGGTCTAACATTTAAGTCTTTAATCCATCTTGAATTAATTTTTGTATAAGGTGTAAGGAAGGGATCCAGTTTCAACTTTCTACATATGGCTAGGCAGTTACAATAAACGTAATCCACCATATAAACAGAACCAAAGACAAAAACCACATGATTATCTCAATAGGTGCAGAAAAGGCCTTTGACAAAATTCAACAACGCTTCACGCTAAAAACTCTCAGTAAATTAGGTATTGATGGGACGTAGCTCAAAATAATAAGAGCTATTTATGACAAACCCACAGCCAATATCATACTGAATGAGCAAAAACTGGAAGCATTCCCTTTGAAAACGGGCACAAGACAGGGATGCCCTATCTCACCACTCCTATTCAACATAGTGTTGGAAGTTCTGGCCAGGGCAATCGGGCAGGAAAAAGAAATAAAGGGTATTCAATTAGGAAAAGAGGAAGTCAAATTGTCCCTGTTTGCAGATGACATGATTGTATATTTAGAAAACCCCAACGTCTCAGCCCCAAATCTCCTTAAACTGATAAGCAACTTAAGCAAAGTCTCAGGAAACAAAATCAATGTGCAAAAATCACAAGCATTCTTATACACCAATAACAGACAAACAGAGAGCCAAATCGTGAGTGAAATCCCATTCACAATTGCTTCAAAGAGAATAAAATACCTAGAAATCCAATTTATGAGGAATATGAAGGACCTCTTCAAGGAGAACTACAAACCACTGCTCAATGAAATAAAAGAGGATACAAACAAATAGGAGAAGATTCCATGCTCATGGATAGGAAGAATCAATATCATGATAATGGCCATACTGCCCAAGGTAATTTACAGATTCAATGCCATCCCCATCAAGCTACCAATGACTTTCTTCACAGAATTGGAAAAAACTACTGTAAATTTCATATGGAACCAAAAAAGAGCCCTCATTGCCAAGACAATCCAAAGCCAAAAGAACAAAGCTGGAGGCATCACGCTACCTGACTTCAAACTACACTACAAGGCTACAGTAACCAAAACAGCATGGTACTGGTACCAAAACAGAGATATAGCCCAATGTAACAGAACAGAGCCCTCAGAAATCATACCACACAGCTACAACCATCTGATCTTTGACAAACCTGACAAAAACAAGAAATGGGGAAAAGATTCACTGTTGCACTTTCATTGTGGTTACAGCAACAATTTTAAGACCTCCGTGTAATGTACTGCTCTTCCTATAACCTCAATTCACATTTCATCTTCTCACCTTTCTTCATCTCTAAGATTTCTCATATTAGATCAATCTTTTAAGCATTCTTTCTCACTTTACACATTTCAGTTTCCATTTTATTTTCTTATCACAATTCCGTTCTGTTGGTTTCATTCTTAGAAATATTTTCAGCTTATTGCAGCAATATTTACCACACTACTCAATGTTTGTTACAAAAAGAAATAATCTTTTTATACATAACTGATATTAGTCTAATGTTTACTCCAGCTAAAACAGTTTAGTTCACAAACTTAGCTCTGAACTATTAGGGAGGCCAAGAGAGTCAGCATATTGATATCTCAGACAGTAAAGGTGGGTGAAAACAAAGTGAAAAAAATGGATAGAGAGTAGAAAGAAAATCAGGCTGTTAGGGAACACAGGTCAAGTAACAAAAATAGTTGATAAGAATTAATTTGAATGATGATGTCATAAGAATTTACGTCATAAGAATATCATTATTTTATACTGAAGTTCACTGCCCTCAAATTATTTACTTTTTAGTCAAGGGTGTTTCAGTATCTGTTCCTGTTGATATAGTTTGCATTAGCTTCATGAGAGTATGAAGATCCTGGGAGTCACAGTCTTAGAAGAGTTCTACCTTTTCTGAGCTTTTTTCCCAGGTTGTCATGGTGAAGAACCAAGAAGGACCCCTCATAGCTTTCCTCCCCTCATGACAAGGGAAGGAAAGATAAATCTTTGTAAATTACAACTAGGGCCTTCTCCCTAAAAAGAGGTCTACTTTCCAGTGAGTAGTGCTTTGGAAGAACACAATTCTGAAATCTTATATCAGCTGCTGGAAGGAAATTACTCTTCATTTTAACCTCCTCCAATCTTCTTGTCTCACCTAAGGAAATTAAGAGGGAAATACAGCCAAAGGGGATACTGATTCAAAAAAAAAAAAATGGAAGTGATTCAATCAAGGAAGGAAATAGAGTCTAGGAGTAAAACGGCATACAACTAAAGGAAAGACCTAAATACATGTAAAAGACTTACCCCTGAGACAAAGAAGAAATTTAATAATTAGATTTTTAAAATGTCCCCCTTCTCACAACCTACTACCACACCAAGGTAGCTCAAGTAAAATAGTGAATTCCAGCTAAAAGAGCTGCAAGAAGCAGACTCCTTATGAATAACAGTATGTATAAAGCCCGAGAATATAAAAACGTGGACACTAGAAAAATTAGAAGATTCTTATATCTACAGCCACAAAAAAGTTTCATACTGCTCAACTCATAATCAGATTTACATAAATGCACAAATTCCTATTTACCAGAGATATCATTGTCAAATACAATATATCTGGCTCTCAACAAAAAATTATGTCATGCCAAAAAGCAAGAAAAATAACATATTGAAGAAACAATGTAATCATCAAGATTAAATTCATTCATGACATAGATTTTGGAATTATCTTACAGAGAATTTTAAATGCCCATGATTGATATATTAAGGATTCTAGTGGGGAAATAGACAACATACAGGAATAGATGGGTATGGCAAGTAGAAACAGGAACACTTTTTTAAAAAGCAAATGTTAGAACTGAAAATCACTGTAACAAAAAATAATGTTTTCGATGGGTCTATCAGATTATTTGACATGATTGAGGAAGAATCAGTGAGCTTGAGATACATCGCTAGATTATCTCCCAAATTGAAATGCATCGAAAAAAATGGAAGACATTAAGGAACTCTGAGGCAATTTCAAAAATTGTAGCAGACATGTAACTGTAATATCAGAAATAATATAACGAGGAATAAATGTTTTAAGTAGTAATTGCTGATAATTTTTCATAATTAATGAAATATCAAATCAGAGGGCCAAGAAACTCAGAGAACATCAAGCAGGATAAACACCAAAATCTACACATAGGTATATTTTTATTAAACTGAAGTAAACCAAATGCAAAAAAGGAAAAACGAATAATAAAGAAAAACTAAAATGCATTAACAATAAGAGAAGAAAGGATAAGAATTATAGCAGACTGTTCATCAGAAATTATGTGAGCCAGAAGAGAATGGAGAAAAATATTTTGAATTGAAGGAAAAATAAACACTAACCTAGAATTCTATATCCATTGGCAGTTTTCCTTAAAGGTTAAGAATAAAGACTGTATCAGACAAACAAATGCTCAGGGAATTTATCAACAGTATATCTGTCCTGCAAGAAATATTGAAAAATAATTTTCAAGCAGAAAGAAAATTACACAGGTCACAATTTTGAATTAACATAAATATAGAAAAGCATCTGGAAAAAAACAAATAAAAGTCAAATAAAATATTTTATTTTTCTTATCCTTAATTTATCTAAATGGTAATTTTAAAAAAACCAATAGTATCAACAATGTATTGGGTGAGGAAATCATATTAAAAAGTAAAATGAATTACAAATATTCCAAAAAAGGCTGGAGGGAGTAATTAAGAATACTCTTTTATAAAGAATATGCACCAGTTGTAAAGCAATGTAATATTGTTTTAAAATGAATTTAGATTAAAAATAAATATTGTAAACTATAGGGTCACCCTTAAATTTTTTTATAATCAATATCATTGATGAAATAAGACAGGAGAAAAAAAGAATTATTTGAAATACTTAAATGAAACCAGGTAAGTTGGGGGAAAAAACAAAAATAAGAAACAAGAAAAATTCAATGAATAAAAAGTTACCAACATGGTAATTATCAATCTAACTTTATCAATAATAACTTGAAATGTAAATGTTTAAATATATTTATTTTAAAATAGGTTGTTAGAATGGATACAAAATATCTAATCATATGTTCTACAAAAATATAGATTTCAATATTTTTAAAAAATCCTCAGATAGGTTAAAACTTAGAGGATAAAGATATACCATGCACACAGTAATCAAGTGAAAATGGAAAAAACTATATTAATTTCAGAAAAAAATGATTGCAGAAAATACAATGCCAAAATATAAATTATTACTGACAAACAGATAAGCTGGACTATATTAAAGTGAGAAACTCCTAGTCTGTGAAAGACACTTAAGAAAATGGAAAAGCAAAACACAAACTGAAAGAAAATGCTGCAAAATGCAAATCTGCTAAAGTATTTGCATCAAATTATGTTAAAAACTTCTAAAACTTAGCAATAAGAAAATAAATAGCTCAATTAACAATGAGCGAATGGTCTGGACACCTCAACAAAGAAGATGTACAAATAACGAGTACATACACATGTAAAGTGAAATAAAATTAAGGGATATTAAAAGGAAAAATAGGCTGGGCGGGGTGGTTCACGCCTGTGATCACAGCACTCTGGGAGGCCGAGGTGGGCAGATTGCTTGAAGCCAAGAGTTCAAGACCAGCCTGGGCCAACATGGTGAAACCCTGCCTCTACTATAAAATACAAAAATTAATAGGTGTGGTGGTGGGCACCTGTAATCCCAGCTACTTGGGAGGCTGAGGCATGAGAATTGATGGAACCCGGGAGGTGGAGGTTCCATCTAGCCTGGGCGACAAAGTGAGACTCTGCCGCAAAATAAATAAATAAATAAATAAAAATAAAATAAATAAATAAATAAATAAATAAATAAATAAATAAAATAACAATGCGATACCACTACAGACTAATTAGAATGGTTAAAGTCCAAAAAATATCAATTTTAGATAAAGATAACAAGCAACAATATTTTTATTCATTTATGATGGGATTGCAAAATGACATACACACTTTGAAAGATAGTTTGGCAGTTTCTAAAAAAGCAAAACATAGTCTACCAAAATGATTTTGTAATCATGCTCTGAGGTATTTGCCCAGTTGAAAATATGCCCACCTAAAAACTTGGATGTGACTATTTATAGCAGCTTTATTAATATTGCCAAAAACTAGACACACCTAAGATGTCATTCGATCGACGAATGGATAAACTATGGCACATCAACTCAATGGAATCTTTTTCAGTGGTAAAAAAAGAAGTATCAAGCTATGCAAAAACATAGATGAATCTTCAAAATGTATTAAGTTAAAGGAGTCAGTCTGGAAAAAGGATACATACTTTATTACTCTATTAAGTAACATCTAGAAAAGGCTAAACCACAATAATCAACACACAAGTGGTTGCCAGTGGTTTGGGGGAAAGGGGCACATTGAAAAGTAGCACACAGGAGCTGTTTTAGAGCAATGGTATTATTCTCTATGAAACCTTAATGGTAGATATATGCCACTAAGTATTTTTTGAAGCCCATAAAATTGTAAAGCAGTAAGAGTAAATTTTAATGTATGAATTTATTTTTTAAATGAAGCAGCCAAAAGATTCAGAATGGAATTCAGAATTTTGAAAGTAATCTGTTTTACAAATGTATGAAATGAGCTCACTGAAGAGGTTTGGAAGAAAAGATGCCCTGAACCAAGTAACTTTTGCAATGAATGTAGTCTTTACAGACTAAAGGAGAAAGAAAATCCACACAAGAGCTGCATTCTACTTAATGAAAATGAAATTGTTTCCCATAGGTTATGGACTAACAATTTAAGACACTGCTATTTACGTATATTTGCATAGAACAATTAAATCGATGATGGATGTTGGCAGTGATGTTTTTCACTGTTGAAGTGGGAAGTTACAGACAAGAAAGAGGGAAGCATAGAATTATCCAAGCAGTTCTGTATCACCGTTGGAAACATCAGTATGAATTCATGTTTAGCTTAATATAGAGGCAAATAAATACCTATATCAATATTTACTGGTATGCATAATATATCAGTTAGTATGCACAGTATATTTCCTTTCTCTCTCTGCTAAAGTAATCGGTGTTTTTTTTTAAGACTAAGTTAATGAATATGCAGTCTGAACTTGGATCATCTTGAAGTGCCAGAATGTAAGGAACCACTCAAAACCAAGCAAACAGAACCACAAACAAGTGAAGAGGATACGTCAAAAGAACACAAGAGCCAATTTAAAGAGTTCCCAATGGCCAAAGTTGGAACAATTGGAGCAACAAAATGAAGTAGGAGTAGATTATAATCCAAAGCATGGCATAAATACCCATGAGTCCACAGTTATATAAAATAATGATTGAACATGTAAATAAAAGGGCAGAACATACAAATCTCTTGTGAAGAGGAATTCCAAATACTGTATTGTCACTACCCTGCCCTCTGTGAGATGGAGTATAACTCTCCACTCTTTAAATATGAGCTTCACATAGTGAATTCTTTCTAATTACTACAGTATGAAAAGGGGGAAAACAGTAAATGCATAGTGGAGAAATCTAACAAACACTGTGTCAGCCGGGTGATCAAGATTAACTGCAATATTGTAAATCATATTGATAATATTGATTCTTGACACAAGGTGATGAAAATCTCACTTTTGGTCTATGGTTTTCCAAAAACCCATGACCTTAGTCTAATCATGAGAAAACATCAGACGACTCCCAAATGAGGGATGTGCTAACAAATAACTGATTAATATTTTTCAAAATTGTCAACGTTATCAAAACTAAGGAAAGTCTGGGAATTTGTCACATCCAAGAACAGCTTAAGTAGACGTGACAACTAAATGAGCTGTGGTATTCTATGGGAAATCTGGAACAGAAAAAGGACATTTAATAAAACAAAATAAATCTGAAGAAAGTATGGCCCTTGGTTAATATTAATGTTTCATTATTGGTTCATTGATTGTGACAAATGCATGATACTAATATAAGATGTTAACATTAGGCAAAACTCAGTATGGGGTATATAAGAACAAGCTAATGTCTTCAAAATTTTTCTGTAATTTTAAAAGTATTCTAAAACTGAAAGTTTATTTCAAAAATAGATTCACCATCATTCACACACATAAAGCCTAGAATTATGAAATTTAAGCACTAAAAAAAGTTTTTCAGCCTCTTTAAACATAAAAAGTAGCTCTATTAAAGCAAAGGGAATTATAGTGCCTTACTCAAAAAATTACTTTGAGAATCAAATAATGTGTCTTAATGTCAATTCTTATTAATAGTGATAGTCTCAATGCCTAAAACAAGTTTGTTTATCAATGAAATAAAGCAATCACAACATTCCCTTATTCTCTTTTTCACTCTAGCACACACAGTAATCCATTTAACCATCTTTACCTTTCACTGAGTTAAAAAATCAATCAATCAAAGATTAGCTGGCTCAGGCAAAGAAACAGGGGCTTCAAAATGATGGAATAGATTCTTTTGAAAAGTTGCATTTCTATGTTGGGATGCAGAAAGTGAAAAGTGGGAATGTGTATTTAATTAGCTACATAATATAGTCCATGTTCAGAGACTGGTATAGAGTCAGTACAAATAAATGTTAGTAATCAATGATGCTTTATCCAATGAATTTTTATTAAGTATGTTTCATTGTTTGCTTTAAATAATACATGAGCTTAATATATCCTGTAAATCTACTTATTAAGTGTGCACTATGCATTTGACTAAGCTATGAAAATTAATTAAAATTTAAATATACAACAATACATATACACATGAATATATATTCTTGATTTGGAACTCAAAAACAATGAATGAAAAAGAATGTATGCAAATGAAAATAACATAAAACAATAAAAGGTTGAAAAATGGGTTAATCCATCAAGAGCTCATCACAAGAAACTGTATTCAATGTATTTGTAACTATGTTACAGCAACAAGGTCAAGGAGTAGCTATGAACCAAATGAGAAGATTCAGATTGTTAAAGGTGGAATTCTAAGAGGAAAGAGTTAGGCAAGAAAGTTGCTGAAGTTCTGTAGGACTTGCTTTTGCTATACAGGGAACAATATAATTTTGAGAACGAGACTAAAATAAGAAAAAAGTAGGCACAGTGATTGCTGGGTTTAATGTGTTTAAACAACAGGCGGCTAGGTTATGAGGAACAGATGAATAGGAGATCATAATTAGTTATTGTTATATTGAATATTAAAGTTTTGTGTGTTCAACTATTTTGTCTGATGGCAAGATCCAGTATATACCTATTGTCATACATAATTGAATATGAAGAATAATATGGTTGAAGCCAAGTCAGTGGATGTGGTTTTTTTTAATACCCAAGATGAGTATCTGTGTACTTGTTTACCTGGAACAACCTGGTGTATACTTGATGTCCTGACATAATTATCAGTAACACTTTTGTGTACTCTTGAAGTTTACTAATTTGAATACAAATGATATGATCATCTCCTCACTTTGGGTCAGTAGCAAATCACCATAACAATTTGGAAATAGCCAGGAATTCTTAAGAAAATAGAACAAAGGAGAGAAGTGGAAAATTGTAAGTTGATATTTTGAACAGGAGCTGAATGAAAACTTTTGCATGAAGGAGACAGAGTAACAGGGTGGAAGCCATCCAAACTTACCTCCTATTTTTTCTTAGCAGAGCTCTTTTTGGACAAGTCTGGTTTATTCTGTTATTGCAGTCCATGCCCTGTACTTTATCATGAACTTTATTCATACTATGCCCCTAAATGAAATAATTTTTCTCTTCTCCTTCTTCAAAACAATTTCTTTAACCATTCAAAGCTTAGCTCCAAAATGACCTCAATAAAATACCTTGAAGAAATAGGAATAAACAGTCATCCAAATTCTTTAAGAAGGTTGCAGAATTTAATTTTTGTTGATCTTGTCCTGCAGAATACATACCAAGTCCCGGTGAATTTTTGATAGTCTCCAGTGACTGTTGAAAACTACAAAAATAGCCTAGTGAGAAATATTTGATGCTCGTACTTATAATCAAATATAAATATCAGTTCAGCTCAGGATTGAAGTATGTTTAATCTCTCCATACATACTAAGCTTTTATCTTTTAATAAAGAGACGGTAACTACATATGCTATATGAGTTTGTAGCTACATTTCTATAGAAACTATTAGCCTAATAAAGTTTATTGTATGACCTATTTTGTATGTTCATACACACAGAAATACTAGTGGCTAGGTTAATGCCTACATGCTGAGAAGATATTCCTCAAGGAAGCATAATACAAGTGAAGAAGTATACATGTTCCCTTTTTGTTTGTAGTGTTGGATATTGTTTTGTTCGGTTTTGTTTGTTCTGGGGTTAGGCAAGCTCCCTTTCTGTACTGCAAAGTTATAAAATTTATCTTTAAAGACTTTATCTTATTTATTTTTAATATCACATAATAGTTGCCTACAGTTGATAAGGTTCGGGAAGTATCACCTGCTAATGCCCTCTGCTGGTAGAACCTTATGAAAGATATTTCTGCATTTGAGAATAGTTGTTCAGTACTGTAATTCATTACTAAAAATCCCTTAACATTATGAGCAACAAAAACAATTTCTCATATTTATATTAACTATCTTTAAAAATGGTCTATACTTATATAAAGGCAGTCTTATTTCTTTGAAAAAAATTTTAAAGGACATGAACATCATATGATTCTTTCTCTTAAGAAGTTCTGTTCATTATATTAATGATTCATGGATGACTTCTTTAAGAGAAATAATTTCACTTGCTTACAGTATATTTTCTATTTTTATTGCAAATAGATATACTTTTGACAAAAGTTGTAAGTAAATAACTAGCCTTTTTTCAAAAAATTAAAATACATGGCTGGACTAAATTATAAGAAGATATTATCTTTTAATCATAATAATATCTCCTTAGCTGACAATTCTATTATTACTTTTAGATGATGTATCAATTGAAACCCAAATATTATGTGTATTTGCTTTTTAAGAGACTCATTAAAATTGCACAAATTTGATGAGTGACTAGAGAGTTTTGAAGTGAACTAAATGACGTGTTAGAATTTTAAAATAAACCAAGGTTAGTGTTAAAAATTTACCAACACAAATTTCTTTCATAGCAATAATATTTCTAGTACCTATTCTGATACTTTAAATAAACAACACAATCTTCTAAAAACTTTTATTATGCATTACTTATACGCATAATATGATATAAAATTTAATCATTAAAACACTCTATATGAACTTCTTTTAATAAGTTTCAGTTAAACAAATTCTAACAACAATTTACCTTTATTCTCTTCTCTGTTTCATTCCAATTCTTTATTTTTATAAATACAAGTCATGATGTACATACATGTGTTTGTGTGTGTATACTTTTTGACTACATAGATGGTTTAAAAACCTCTGATATAATTGTCATGGGATCCTTGGGGTGTTGCCTCACCATCAGGAAACCTCTGTGGCTAGTGGTGTCTTCTGCCTAAGTATTGCTTGCACCTGCTGGACTCATTCTGCTCACTCAGCCCAGAAGGCTATCCTTGGCTCCTGTTAATGGCCAGGATCCCAGACCTGCCAAGGGCAAGCCAGTTGCAGAGCAGCTAGAGGTGTGTAGGCAAGTGAGTGCAGGTTCTGGCCACTGCACACAGCCAGGCACTCTGGCTGTTGCAGAGGGGCAAGGAGCCCTGGGAGCTGGCACCTGTGCCAGCTGGACCAGATGCACGTGGCTGCTGCTTTGGGCAACTGCTGCTTTGGGCAACTGCGTCTGGACAAGGCGAATGCAGTGTCACGCAGAAGCTTGGAGATGCCAAAGAAGGTGTCACAGCCCTCATGCAGGGAACCACTAGGTCTGGGCTCCCAGAAGAGCTGCAGTTCTGCTCTCTTTCTTGTTTCCCGCAACATGGCGAGTAGTGGTAGGGGGAGGATTTCAGCCCTGTTTGTGTTACAGCTATTCTAGTCCTGCCATTCAGCATGTCACGAGTTCTTTTCCCATGTCCGGGAAGAATGAGTGGACAACTGAAGGGTGAGCAAGGTAAAGACGAGCTTCCTTGAACAACAGAACAGTTCTCGGGAGACCCACAGTTGGTAGCTCCTATCTGCAGGCAAGTCATCCTGTCTGAGTGTACAGCTCTCAGCAAAGAGGAAACCCCCAGTGGGTAGATCCTCTCCGCAGGAAGGTTATCCCTATGTCTACTCAAGTCTAACTGAGTCTGGCGTTTCTATGGGCTTCAGAAGGGAGGAAGTACATGCTGATTGGTCCATGGGTGGCCATGGGTGGGCCTTGAAAAAGCACCGTAAGTTATCACTCCAGAACTGGCAGCCTAGTCCCCAGGCCTCAGACCATCTTTGACCTGAAGGTGTGGTTTCACTGGGGACCCTCCCCATTTTGCCTGAGAGCCTATCTGCCTCTTGTCACCATCCATGGTGCCCAGGCTGCTCATGGCAAGAGGCACCTGTAGGCCCACGCTGAGCCACCCTCAGCCCCCACCCCAGCCTCCCTCCTATGCTGGTCCACGCCCAAAGTCTGGGAGGGGCCGAGGTGACAGGTGGCTGGCATGTCAGCTCTGCCTTGAGATGTGCACACCTGGCCGGGTTGTGACTGTGCCTGGGCTCAGCTTTAACTTTGCTCTGAAATCCGTGCTGGGGGTGGGGAGAGGCCAGGCAGCGGAAGCAGGCACTTCCAAGCCTGCAGTGCAGGGAGGCTTCCCGCCCCTGAAAGTGCAGAGATGCCTGGGTCTGCAGGGGCAGCTGAGTGGCAGCAGCTGTGCCTTGGAGGGCAGGGATCCCACCCGTCCAAGTTGGAAGGGGACGGAGTTCTCACCTGTTCCTGGCTCTTGTCGGATCCACGGAGAATGCAGCCCTGGCTGTGCCTGCCACACTGCAGTCAGCATGGCAGCAGCTGGTCCAGACCTCCGCTGCTGCCATCATAATCACCGGCATCAGCACTATTCACAGTAGCAAAGACATGGAATAAAGCTACATGTCCATCAATGATAGATTGGATAAAGAAAATGTACTTATGCACCATGGAATACTATGCAGCCATTAAAAATTAGATCATATATTTTGCAGGAACGTGGATGGGGCTGGAGGTCATTATCCTTAACAAACTAACACAGTAACAGAAAACCAAATACTGCATGTTCTCACTTATAGGTGAGAGCTAAATGATGAGAATACATGGACACATAGAGGGGAACAACACACACTGGTTTATTGGAAGATGGAGGATAGGAGGAGAGAGAGGAACAGGAAAAATAACTAATCGTTATTAGGCTTAATACCTGGGTGCTGAAAAAGTCTGAACAAGAAACCCCCATTTGTTACATTTTTCTGTGTAACAAACTTGCACATGTACCCCTGAATTTAAAATAAAAGTTAAAAAAAAAATCTGGCATCCTATTAGCCTCACTTTTTCCCTCAGTACAAATTCCTTCAATATAAGAACTGTTTGAGTTTTAGCTTCTCAATATTGTATCATAATTATCACAACTTTTTTCGTAATTAATTGTAAGTTTATAAACTTATTATTAGTTAACATAATTTGGCTCTTCACCAAATTGTTAGTAATGCCAAGATTCCAGATTTAATCTTTTTAATTCTGACATTTTGATAGCCTGGCTTTAGGATGGGAATTGGGGAGACCTATACCAGATGTTATTCCCAAGGAAACTACTGGAAATTGTAAACTTTAGCAAGATAAGCAAGATGTATTTTGGAGAGATGATGTGAAGACTGAAAAAATAAGGCCTCTCTTAAAGGGCTAGTAGTATATTTTCCTATTCACGTGTGATATCAACGAATTGCATATAGTTAATTGCATTGTTTAGAATATTGCGAAAAAATGCTTTAAAATTAATTTTTCCTATAGAGTTACAAAATAATATTTGAGTCACCTATTTTTAGCTAGTAAACATAAAATTTCAAATCAGTTTAGTCTTTAAATATTACACTTGAATGATAACAGACCTATAACTTACAGCTATTTATTTTCACTCAAATCATTCCAGAAAGTATTTAATATTATTGAATAGCTCCATAACTTTAAATGACAGTAAAATAATACAGGTAAGTAGTTACAAGCGCATGGTAGACATTTCAGTCAGCCAAGCTTGAGATTTAATCTCATTTCAGCCATGTTGTGAGTGTGTGTTGTTGGCCAGGGTTCCCGATCAATCAGTATATTTTTGCACTGCATCAAATGGGTACATAATTGTGTTCTAGAGGAATTACCTTAGTGATTATATGAAATAACAATAATCCCTTAGAGCAATTCTGGTACCTAGTAAACACTCCATTAAAGATATTCATTCCATGTTTCTTTCCATGCAAGCTAATTTTTTATTGAATGCCAGACATTTTAAATTTTATGTCACTGGGATTTAATGAAAAAAAATTTTTTGAAATGTGTCTCAGGATTCAGTTAAATTACTCAGAAACAGTTTTATTCTTTTGATGCTTGATTTTATGCTTTGGTAGCCAAGTCCAGAATAACTTTTAATCTAGAATTTATTCAGCCATACGAAGGACTCTACTTGATAATCCACGTGTCATTAGAATGTTCCACTCTGGTTGTTCAGATGACCCACTTCCAGCCCTATGTGATCTCCAGTAATTGTTCTGCTTGTTCCTTTCCAGTGGTCTTTCCTTGGTCATGAGATTCCTCATGAGTATGTGCCAATCCACATTCAGAAGGAGATGTAATTTATCTGCAGACCTCTGGAGCTCTCTCTCTCTTTCCTGTCTAAAATTCTGTTTTGTGAATTCTAGCCAAGTTGGCCTTCCCGAACTCTATACTCTGTCTCCTCATCTTATGAAGATTAGCATGCTCCAGTTTGGGCAACCTGTCTTGCACTACAGCCTAAAAATTTTATACAAGAATTGGGCCAGAACAATCTTAGGTATCGTGTTATTTATTTTCTTTATTTCACTGGCCTAAGAGTCACGTTGACTAATGAAAGGAAAATAAAAGGGGCTTCTTAAACTTGGTAGTTTTTTAGTTGTTAAAGATGGGAGGTAAGTCTAGTTCCAGTTATAATATCATGGCTAAAACCATGTTAATATAATGATTTCTTAAAAACACTTTATTTTCTTTGAGATATATATTGGCTTTACTTCCTATTCTTTCAATCTCATTACCCACAAATCTCTATTTCTATTGTTAAAGGTTTTGCACATCCTTCTGAAACAATTCTGTATAAAAATAAATAAAAAGAGAAAAGACTTTGAATAGGGCAATGTATCATGCAATACTAATTTTATAATATTTTTATTACTTTCAGGTGTTACCTTTGTTAATTCTTCCTTTCTTCAGGATAAGGTGTTTCTTCTGAGGCTTTCTCCCTGGATTCTTGAACTGAATGCTTTTTCAAAAATTATTTTCCATATTTTTTAGCTTTTGACTAAATGCATTCAAGGATTCACCTTTCTGGCCTTTAGAGGAATAACTTTATTGCTCTTCTTACATTTATTTTATTCTATCTCCTGATTCAATTCTCTTTTAAGTTTCATGGCACTGTCAGTAAAACCTCCCATTTCCATTTTTCTTTCTTATTAGACACTCCATCTTAACGTCCTCTTTTTATGGCTGGAAAGTTTAGCTGTTTAAGAGTATAGTTACATATCAGTGGAACTATATTTATTTCAGGTTTCCAATGGTTATAAGTGGCATAATCTTAGGTCTCCCGGGCATGTATGTAAGGTTATAATGCCTCAAGTACATTTCAGTCTCTCTTCTTCTGTAAAGACTGAGTTTATTAAGTTAGTGGGAGATAAATATAGTTCTTCAAAATAAATATTTTAGAAGAATCACACAATATAGTCTGTATGAAAAATCCTTAAAGAAAAATTATAACTTTGTGCCTGCTTTAAAAAATAAAAACATTGCCCTGATTATATTAAAAGCTTCTATCCTGTAATTATATTATGTTTTAAATACACATTACCATCTGATTCATCCTGGATTCTCAATTATTTTTCTTCTGAGTCCCCAAATAGAATCTATTTTATCTCAATAGAAGTACAGATGTGTTTCCATTTCTCAAAAAGGTTTTTCTCTTCATTTTAATGAGGCTTGGAAAAAAATAAATTCAGGTGGTCAATCAGCTCTATTAATTCATAAATTTCAGAATCTTGAAAAATACCTGTAGGGGGTGTTCTGTACCACAGAAATTCCCATTCAATATCAAGACACATTCTCTCAGCTGCTGGAAGAGTGGATTATGTCTCATTTCAGAAATTTCCCTCTGCTAAACAAAGCTGCCTTACCCTAGGTTCTACCCTCTCTCTCAGGTATCTCTCTTTAATCTAATGACTGGTGCAATTGCACAGCACCTTTGCCTTGACACATGCCAATTCTGAAGGGCCTGAGAACTCCAGAGTTCTCTGTTGCATCTGTTTAAGCTTTTGCTACAATTTTATTGCAGTCCAACTTCTCCCTTTGCAAATCCTGCTTCCCCACTTACTCACAAGGGTGGTTGCGAAGCTTGTTACAAACTTTGTTCACGCAAAATTCCATCTTAGTGTCTGTTTCCTTTAAATCCTAACCTAAGACAAAATACCTGATCAATTTTTATGCTAAATATATTTTGCACAAATTTTCTGACTTACAATCCTCATATTTATTAGTACATATTTATCAGTATTTTTGCCCACTCTTCCACTCTTGTTGCAAAGTTTTAAAATGTGGTATATCTTTAATTTTAATATTAATGTGTTCAGAAACCTGAGTTTTATGTTTGATCTCTTTTCTTTTTTCAAACAATTTAATAGATTAATTATTCCCCTTCTCAATTATCCTAATTTCACATATTCCTTTTATCTTAAAAAATGCTCCTCTATCTTTCATTATCTTTTAGCTATCCCTATCTCATTAACTCCCCTCACAAACTTTGCAAAAAGTGGTTTATACTAAAGTAATTTACACTCACTTTCCCAGAAATCTAATTTTTACACAAACCTATGATTAAAATTCCCACTCCATTAACAAGTAACTTTTTCATAAAACAGATCACATTAAGTATGTATTTTGTTTAATTCCCCTAGTTCTCACTCCCCTTTTCTGGGAACCTCTTTCCTTCCTTGATTTTTATTAAAACCCTTTTTTATCTGGACACTTTATCTCAATTTTTTAACCCTTTGTATCTATTTCCATTTCATAAATACTGGCATTTCTCAAGCATCAACCATGTTTCTCTTCCCTTCCCATCTATACAATTTTTAAATAACTGACTGTAGCCTCTATGCTGATGACAGTCAAATCTATACAATTTGTCTGGATCTCACACCTCGGTTTCAGACCCAAATTTCCAATTTAAATTTACCACCTCCAATTTGATAATCATGAACATCTCACAGTTAACTTGCCAAGAAAACAGTTTCTGCTTTTTCTCTCAAAAGTGAACATTTTATTTTATTGTTTCCTACAGTAAAGGACTTCAATATTTGCATAATTATTCAAACAAGATCATTGTAAAGTATCGTTTCTCTCTTTTCTAATCAATCATCAAAGCAAATCAAGAACTTAATTAACTATTCAGCTTGACTCACTTAGTTCCATTTCTTGCTATAATGTTTAAAACTCTGCCCCTGAGATTGTTCATTTCTATTACTACAACTACCTTTAAATTTCTGTTTATGCCTACATCCTTTCCAACCCTTCAATACATTCTTAATACTGCTATGAAGTGATTTACATTCTAGTATCTAAAATTATTTTTGTTAGTAAAATCTATACTGTCACTTCACTTTGTACAGGAATACGTCTAGGGTTTTTGTTTTGTTTTGTTTTGTTTTATTTTAGCAGGGCATATAATTCCATCATGATCGGGTCCTTTCAAAAACTTCTAATCTCACTTCAGGGTGTGCTGCCTACTCTCCAATTTAAAAATGATTACAAAAACAGAAATTAGAGGAGGGGCTTCAAGCGGTTGACAACAGGCATTTTGTATTCTTAACCTCAATGAAGAAGAACCAAAATAGTGAATATATAATCACATTTCAAATATATCATCCAAGAGAAAACACTGAAATTCAAAAGAAAAGTGACAGGAAATACCTAAAGTAAAGAAAGAGGGTGGTGAGGTAGCTTGCATGGCCAGGGCTGACTGGGAGCTGAGACAGACTCCCAAGTGTGGGAATAAATGAGAGAAGAGTAAATGTGAGATCCTCAGTGGCCCACATTCCTCCTGTGGACTCCTGCAATCTTAACCACGGGAGAGCCCCTTCACACTCAAGGGCCCTGGAACTAACATAGAGAGCTGCTGGTAGATTATATGATGGCACTACTCCAGCGAGGGAGCTCACGCTGGGTCCCACATGCTTTCTGAGATCTAAGCAGCTTTAGCAAGATGCCATTTTAGAGCCCCATCCCAACAGACTATGCACTGTCTTGGAGCCCAGCTGAACTGGGACTGACCACAAGAGAAGTACTAGTTGGTGCCCCATGGTTAATTTGCAAGTGAGGCATGGTTTACCACCATTGGGGTTAAGTCACAAAAAAAAAGCAGGCTACTGCCTCCTGGCCTAAAGCTCAAGCGTCAGAGCTGAGGCATAGGCAATGTGAACATTCCCCACCCACTGCCATAAGCTGCCACCACTAACAGCAGTTCAGCTCTCCTCAGTGGCAGAACAACAATGTGGCCGTTGCTACCTGTCATCTGAGTATTCTGCTGGTGGCATGGAGATCACCTTGCCCCTCCTACTATGGTTGTTGCCTGCACACACACCTGGCGGGGCCTCAGGACAAGTTGACCCAGGCTGGCTTTGTCCCCCAATGCCAAAACACATAATCTAGGGGCCAGGGGATGGCCTAGCTCAGTCCAACATTGTTATATTCTGAGCACTTTTCCTGGAAACCTGAGGTTGGGCTTGCTCACCTTGCTGCTACCACCACTACCACCACAGCTGACACTTACATGCACGCAACATCAGCGGGCCTGGAGATAGGCCCATCAAGCCCACAGAAGCTATTGCCAACACCAGTGTGCATAGCCCAAAACCAAGAAGATTGTTCTGCCACTGCCACTGCCATTACCAGATCCCCAGGGTCTTGAGAACCCACTCACCCACCTTGCATGTAACTGCCACAACTGGAATCTGAGTAAGTCACCTGGAGGCCCAAAAATAACCCTCCTGGACCTGCTGACACCAGTGTCAGTGTGCACTGCCCTGGGGCCCAAGAAAAAACACTCTCAGCCCAATGCTGCTACCACTAAGCCTGAAGTCTGGCCTACCTGGCATCCCATTTCCCAGCAAGACATCACCACAGCCTCCGCTAATAATTGCTCCCTAAAACACCAAGGAAATCACAAGCATGAATGATACTATTTATAGCTAAAGAAGTCATACAGAGACTACACTACTGCACACACATCCCAAAAGGCCCAAATGCCCTACCCAACCAACACCATAGACACGAATTCAGGATAAAGTTGTCCCCTATAAATACAAATTCATATAACTGGAAGAAGCAACTGTTACACCAGAAGCACAAACATCAATGTAAAGACACAAGAACCATGATAAAGCAAGAAAAAAAAAGACCACTTCTTTACTTGATAGTAAAGAACCTCAATGAGATAAAAAAAATCTGAAAAACAAAACAAAGAAATCAGAAAAACTATTCAGAATATAAATGAGAAATTTATCAAAGTGATAGCTGTCATAATGCTGGTAATCCCAGCACTTTGGAAGGCTAAGGCAGGTGGATCACCCGAGATCAGGAGTTTGAGACCAGCGTGGGCAACATTGTGAAACCCTGGCTCTACAAAAAATAGCCAAGCATAGTGGCACATGCCTATAATTCCAGCTACTTGGGAGTCTGAGGTGGGAGGATCACTTGAGCATGGGAGGCAGAGGTTGCAGTGAGCTAAGATGATGCCACTTCACTCCAGCCTGGGCAACTGAGTAACACCCCATCCAAAAAAAAATAGGAAAAGAAAAAAAGAGTCAAACAAAAATTATGAAACTGAAAAATTAATTGAATGAAATGCAAAATATATTCTGAAGCTTCAACAATAAACTAAGCAGAAGAAAGAATCTCAGAACTTGAAGGCAAGTCTTTTGAAATAACCCAATAAGAAAAAAATATAAAAAACACAACAAAAAAGAATGAGCAAAGCCTTTCTGATGTAGGGGAAAACTTAAAGCAACCAAATACTTGAACTATTAGGGTCTAATAAGAAGAAATAATGAATAGATTAAGAAATTTATTTAACAAAATAAAAACTTCTCAAGTCTAGCAAGAGATTTGGACATTCAGATATAGGAGTTTCTTAGAACCCCAAATAAATACAATACATATAGATCTTATCTACAACATATTTTAGTCAAAATGTCTAAAGTCAAAGACAAATAATGCTATAAATAGTAAGCGAAAGCATCCACTCACCTATGCAAAACAAAAACAAAAACAAAAACTCTCATCAAACTAATAGCAGATTTCTCAGTAGAGAGTTTATAGGCCAGTAGGCCAGGAGAAAATGGAATAATACAATCAAATTGCTGAAAGAAAAAAGTGCTGCAAGGATATTATATTCTGCAAAACTATCCTTCATAAATGAAAAAGAAATAAAGTCTTTCGCAGACCAGTAAATACTGAAAAAAATTTTTAGCACTGCCTGGCTCTACAAGAAATGCTCAAGTGTGTCCTAAACCTAGAAGTGGAAGAATTGCATCTACTATCATGAAAATACATGAATGTATAAAACTTAGTCATAAAATGAACACACAAATGAGGAAGAGGATACAAATTGTACCGCTATAGAAAACCACCAAAGTACAATGATGAAAATTAAGGGTAAAATAAAGGAACAAAAGTATTGAAGACAATTAAAAATATAACAGGAACAAAGTCTCATAACCTTATATTATATCAATAATTAGCTTTGCATATAAATAGATTAAATTCTCCACTTGAAAGACATAGACTGAACAAACAGATTTTTTTTAAAAAAGGAGGAAAAAAACCCACATGACCCAACTATATGATGCTTACAAAAAATACACTTTACATGTAAAGACACATATAGGCTGAAAGTAAAGGAGTAAAAAAAATATTTTATGAAAATGGAAACTAAAAGCAAACAAAAAACAGACTTTACAAAGAGTAAATTTTAAAAAGACAAAGAAAGTCATTACATAATGAAAAAGAGATCAATCCAGCAAGAAGACATGACAATTCAAAATATATATGCACTCAACATATGTGAGCACCATTGTGAGCACACAGATTCATAAAGCAAATACTGCTAGATCTAAAGAGAGAGAGATAGATTCCACTACAATAATAATGATTGACTTCAACAACCCACTCTTAGCATTAGACCCATTATCAAGATAGAAAAGATACAAAGAAACATTGGTTTTAAACTTCATTTTAAACCAAGCTGACCTAACATACATTCATGGAACATTCTACCTGACAACTGCAGAATATATATTCTTCTCAACACATGCAACATTCTCCAGGAAAGACTATATGTTACATTACAAACAAGTCTCAATGTTTCCTTAAGTGAAATCATATCAAATATCTTCTCAGATCACAGTGGAATGAAACTAAAAAACAATATCAAGAGGAACTTTAAAAATTACATAAGTACATAGAATTTAAACAACTTGTTCCTCAATGATGATTGGGTCAATGAAAACATAAAATTGTGATATGGTTCGGATCTTTGTCTCCACCCAAATGTCATGTCAAAGTGTAATCCCAAATGTTGAAGGTGGGGCCTGCTGGGAGGTGATTGGATTATAGGAGTGGTTTTATATGAATGGTTTGGTACGATACCTTTGTTGCAGTTCTCATGAAAGTGAGTTCTCATGAAATCTGGTTGTTTAAAAGTGTGTGATATCTCCCTCCCTCCCTCCCTCTCTCTTCCTTCTGCTCTGGCATGTGACATGTCTGCTCTGCCTTCACCGTCTGCCATGATTGTAAGTTTTCTAAGGCCTCTCCAGAAACTAAGCAGATGCTGATATATTTCCTATAGAGCCTGCAAAACTGTGAGCCAATTTAACCTCTTTTCTCTATAAATTGCCAGTCTCAGGTTTTTCTTTGTAGCAATGTGAGAACAAATTAATACAAAAAATTGGTAAAAAGGCATATGGCATTGTGATACAAATACCTGAAAATGCGGAAGTAGTCTTGGAATTGGGTAAAAAGGCAGAAGTTGAGATAGTTTGGAGGGTTCAGAAGACAGGAAGATTAGGAAAAGTTTGTAACTTCCTAGAGACGGGTTGAATAGTAGTAACCAAAATGCTGACAGTGATATGGCCAGGCTGATGAGGTCTCAGATGAAAATGAGTAACTTATTGAGAACTAGAGCAAAAAACAATTTTAGCTTTTGCCTTAGCAAACAACTTGAATGCATTGTTCCCCTGCCCCAGGGATCTGTGGAACTACTAACTTGAAAGTGATGATTTAGGATTTCTGGTGGCAGAAATTTCTAAGCCCCAAAGTGTTCAAGAATTAGCCTGCTTCTAACATCCTGTGCTCATAAACATGAGCAAAGAAATGATGTAAAGTTGGAACTTATATTTAAAGGCGACATAGAGTATAAAAGTTTATAAAATTTGCATCCTGACCATATGATAAAGAAAATCACATATTCAGGAGCATTCAGTCAGACTACAGAAACTTGTGTATGTAATCAGGAGCCAAGTGGTAATAGCCAGGAAATGGGGAAAAGGCCTTGAAGGCATTTCATAGAACTTTTCAGCAGCCCCTCCCATCACAGGCTTGGAAGCCTAAAACTGAATGATTTCCTGCACCAGGGCCAGGGCCCCGCTGCCCTATGCAGCTGCTGGAAACTGCTTCCTGCACCCTGGCTGTTTCAACTCCAGCTGTGGTACAAAAGGGCCCAGGTACAGCTTGGGCCACTGCTTCAGAGGGTGCAAGCACTAAAGCTCAGTAGCTTTTAAGTTGTGTTAAGCCCGTGGGTGCTCAGAGTGCAACAGTTGAGGCTTGGGAGCCTCCACTTAGATTTCAGAGGATTTATAGAAAAGCCTGGTGTCCAAGTGGAAGCTTGCTGCAGGGGTAGAGCCCTCTACTAGGGACACGTGGAAGGGAAACATGAGGTTAGAG
This sequence comes from Homo sapiens, assembly GCF_000001405.40. Classification (NCBI taxonomy): domain Eukaryota; kingdom Metazoa; phylum Chordata; class Mammalia; order Primates; family Hominidae; genus Homo; species Homo sapiens. The sequence continues at coordinate 163,964,199 of NC_000003.12, forward strand.
CACCCCACAAAGTCTCCACTGGGACACTGCCTATTGGAGCTGTGAGAAGAGGGCCACCATCCTCTAGACCCCAGAATGGTAAATCCATTGGCAGCTTGTACCCCACACCTGGAAAAGCTGTAAACAATGCTAGCTTATGAAAGCAGCTGGAGGGGTGGAGCCCTAAAAAGCCAAAAGGGCAGAGCTGCCCATGGCCTTGAGAGCATACCCCTCATACCAGTGTGTCTTGGATGTGGGATATGTTGTCAAAGGTCAAAGATTATTTTGTTGCTTTAAGATTTAAACAGCTCTGCTGGGTTTTAGACTTGCATAGGCCTTGTAAACTCTTTCTTTTGGCAAATTTCTCCCTTTTGGAATGGAAGTAATTACCCAATATCTATATACCCTCATCATATATTGGAAGTAATTAACTTGTTTTTAATTTTACAAGCTCATAGGAGGAGTGCGCTAGCCTTGTCTCAGGTGAGACTTTGCATTTTGGACTTCTGAATTAATGCTGGAGTAAGTTAAGACTTTGGGGACTGCTGGGAGGCCATGGTTGTATTTTGCAATGTGAGAGGGACATGAGATTTTGGAGGGACCAGGAACAAAATGATTTGGTTTAAATGTGTTTCCCTACCCAAAACTCATGTCAAATTGTAATCCCAAGTGTTGGAGGTGGGGCCTGGTAAGAGGTGACTGGATCATAAGGACAGTTTCTCATGAATAGTTTAGCATCATCCTCTTAGTGCCGTTCTTGTGACAGTGAGTTCTCGTAAGATCTGGTTGTTTAAAAGTGTGTGGTATCTCCCCCTTTTCTATCTATCTTCCTTCTACTCTGGCCATGTGACATGTCTGCTACTTCTTCACATTCCATCATGATTGTAAATTTTCTGTGGCCTCTCCAGAAGCCAAGCAGATGCCCCTATGCTTCCTGTACAGCCTGAAGAACTGTGAGTCTACTAAACAATTTTTCTTTTTAAATTGCCCATTCTCAGGTATTTTTTGTAGCAATGTGAGAACAGACTAATACAGATGGACGTCATAAAATTTTTGGAAACAAATGTATATGGGTACATAATATAGCAAAACCTGTGGGATACAGCAAAATCAGTACTAAAAGGAAAGTTTATAGTAATAAACACCTACATCAAAGAAGTAGAAATGTTTTAAATAAAACATCTAATGATGCATTTTAAGGAATTAACAAAGCAGAAACAGGTGAAACCCACTATCTGCAGAAAGAAACAATAAAAATCAGAGCAAAACTAAAAGTAATAGAGACTAAAAAAATAACAAAATGAAAAGTTAGTTTATTGAAAAGATTTTAAAAATTGATAAACCACTAGTGGGATTAACTAAGAAAAGAAGAGAGGAGGCCTGAATAAACAAAATTAGAAATTAAAAAGGAAACAATCAAAATATAACAGATGCCGAAGAGGCTGCAGAGAAAAGAGAATGCTTATATACTGTTGGTGGGATTGTAAATTAGTTGATCCATTGTGGAAAGCAGTTTGAGGATATCTCAAGGAATTCATTTTTTTATTTTTATTTATTTATTTATTTATTTATTTGAGACGGAGTTTTGCTCTTGTTTTTGAGACAGAGTTTCGCTCTCGGCTGGAGTGCGATGGTGCAATCAACTCACTGCAACCTCTGCCTCCCAGGTTCAAGCAATTCTGCTGCCTCAGCCTCCTGAGTAGCTGGTATTACAGGCATGCACCACCATGCCTGGCTAATTTTGTATTTTTAGTGGAGACGGGGTTCCTCCCTGTTGGTCAGGCTGGTCTCGAACTCCTGACCTCAGGTGATCCACCTGCTTCCGCCTCCCAAAGTGCTGGGATTACAGGCAGGAGCCACCAACAGAACTACCATTTGACCCCCCAATTACTGGGTATATATCCATAGGAAAATAAATCATTCTACAAAAAAAAAAAGACACATGCACTCATATGTTTATTGCAGCACTATTCACAATAGCAAAGACAGGGAATCCACCTAGATTCCCATCAATGATGGATTACATAAAGAAGATGTGGTAAAAATACATCATGGAATTCTACAGAACCAGAAAAAAAAAATGAATGAAATTGTGTTATTTGCATCAACATGGATGTAGCTAGAGGCTATTATCCTAAATGAATTAATGCAGGAACAGAATACCAAATACCACACATATTCTCATTTATAAGTGGGAACTAAGCATTGGGCACACAAAGACACAAAGATGGGAACAACAGGCACTGGAGACTCCAAAAAGAGGGGAAGGAGGGAGATAAGGCTGAAAAACTACTTGTTGGTTACTGTACTCACTACCTGAATGGCCAGATCATTCATACCCCAAACCTCAGCATCATGCGATATACCCATGTAATAAATTGCACATGTATCCCTTCCATCTAAAAGTGTAGCTGAATTTTTTATAAGTAGACAATATAACTGATACAACAGAATTATAAAAAGTAATTAGAGAATATTGTATATAACTATTCTCTAACAAATCGGAAAACCTAGAGGAAATGAGAAAATTCCTAAAAACATACAAACTACCGAGATTGAATTAAAAAGAAATAAAAACCTGAACAGGCCAATAACAAGTAGTAAGATTAAATCTGAAATAAAGTTTTGCATCAGCCGGGCGTGGTGCTCATGTCTACAATCCCAGCACTTTGGGAGGCTAAGGCAAGTTGGTAGCTTGAGTCCAGTCAAGACCACTCTGGATGGAAAAACCCCACCTCCACAAAAAAATACAAAAGTTAGCCAGGCATGGTGGTGCATACTTATAGTCCCAGCTACTGGGGAGGCAAAAGAGGGAGTACGCCTTGAGCCCAGGAGGTAGAGATTGCAGGGAGCCGTGATCGTGCCACTGTATTCCAGCCTAGATGACAGAGTGAGATTCTATCTCAAAAGAAAATAAAATATGCAAAAAAGTCTCCTATCAAAAAAAAGCCTAGGATCAGATGCATTAAATGCCAAATTCTACCAAATGTATAAAGAACTAATACAAGTCTTCCTCAAACTATTCCAAAATATTGAAGAAGAGGGAACTCTCTTTAACTGGTTCTGTGAAGCCAGCATTACCCTGACATCGAAACCAGAAAAAGACACAACAAGAAGAGAAAACGACAGGTCAATATCCCTGATGAACATGGACACAAAAATCAACAGAATACTAGGAAATTGAATTCAACATCACATAAAAAATCTAATACACCATGATCAAGTGAGCTTTATACTAGAGGTATTAGGATGGTTTAAGATATGAAAATCAATAAATGTGATATATCATGCCAACAGAATGAAGGACAAAAACAATAGGATCATCTCAATAGACATGGAAAAATCATTTGATAAATCAACATCGCTTCATGATTAAAAACTCAAAGTAGGTGTAGAAGGAACATATTTCAAAATAATAAAGGTCATATATGGCAAACCCACAGCTGACATCACACTGAACAAGGAAAAGTTGAAAGCATTTTCTCTAAGACCTGGAATAAGACAAGAATAACCACTTTCACCACCTTTAACCAAAATAGTGTTGGAGGTCCTAACTGGAACAACCAGGCGAGAGAAAGAAATAAAAAACATCCAAATTGGAAAGAAGTAAGTCAAACTGTCCCTCTTTGTAGATTCCATAATCTTACATTTGGGAAACCTAAACACTCCACCAAAAACTCTTAGAACTGATAAACAAATTCAGTAAATTTGCAGGATGAAAAACAATAAAAAAAATCAGTAGCATTTCTACACACCAATAAGAAATAAATAAGGCAGTCTCACTCGCAATACCCACAAAAATTGTAAAATACAATAAAATAAATAGAAATTAATTTAACCAAGGAGGTAAAAGATCTCTGCAAGAAAGACTACAAAACACTGATGAAAGAAATTGTAGAGGAGACATACAAATGGAAAGACATCACATGTTTATGAATCAGAAGAATTAATACAAGAGCCAAGATGGCTGATTAGAAGAAACCAGGAAGAACTTCTCCCACTGATACCAGAACATAAAATCGACGGGCAAACTGCGAGCAGATCTTAGGAAAGAAGGCATCGAGAGTGGATAGAAGGAGGACACAGGCCCTGGGGCTAAATCAGAAGAAGGCTAGGAACCCCGTACAAGTTTGCTGAGCACAAGGATTCATTCCTGGCACCCAGCAACTTCTAGGGGAGGGGTCAGTGAAATATACATGGAGTGGGCCACTCTCACCACCAATCTCTGGAATCCTAGCTGCAGAGACCCCCACAATCCCCATGGACATTTGAATTGACAGGAAGAACTGCACGGAGTGTTGGCAGAGACAGAACTGGAGACTGCACAGTGCCTAGAAGGTTTGTCATGGGGATAGCTGCTGTGGAGCATAGCCATGGACTTCCATCGGCCAAAGCTTGCCATACTCTTCTAGGTGGCTTTAGTCTTTGTTAGCTGCCAGCATGGAGAGCGCAAGGCTGTTTTGACCATGGGACAGAGCCAGACTGATCCGAATGCCCCCTGTCTGCTAGTCTCTCCCGCAATTCCTGCCTGGCTGCATCCTCTGAAGCATTTGCCAGTGGCCACCACCATAACTCTTTTGTCAGCAGCCCCCACCCTTCCATCAGAGTGCTTTTGCAGAGGATCTCCTACCAGTGGGCATTTCCCCCACAGACTCCCCTTCACATATGCACTTGGGGACCTGCTGCTCCTCTGGCATGCATGCACTCGTGGCTGACTCATATTTTCACTTATAAGTGGGAGATAAACATTGAGTACACATGGACAAAAAGATGGGGACAATAGACACTGATGCCTACTTGAGAGAGGAGGGTGAGAGGAGGATGAGGATCAATAGCAACCTATCAGGTACTGTGCTCACTGGTGGCAAAATCATTTGTATACCAAACCCCAGCGACATAGAATCTAACCATGTAACAAACCTGCACATGTACCCCCAAAACCTAAAATAAAAAATGAAAAAAAATCCAATGATTAAAATATGTTAACAAAATTTTTTATTAATAGATTTTTAGAAAGAAGTATTAATATTGTTAAAATGACCATACTGCACAAAGCAAACTACAGATTCAGTACAATCCCTATCAAAATACCAATGTCATTATTCACAAATACAGTAAAAATTATTCTAAAATTTATGTGAAACCAAAAAAAAAAAAAAACCAATTAGCCAAAGCAATCCTGAACAATAAGAACAAAGCTGGAGGCATCACACTCTCTAGCCTCAAAATATATTATGAGGCTACAGTAACCATAATAGCATGGCACTGGTATAAAAACAGACACTGACCAATGGAACGAAACAGAGAACCCAGAAATGAATTCATACATTAACAGCCAAGTCATTTTCAACAAGGTACCAAGAAATTTCAGTGAAGGAAGGGTGGTTTTTTCAATAAATGGTACTGGGAAAACTAGACATCCAAATTCAGAAGAATAAAACTAGACCTCTATGTCTCACCACATAACAAAAATCAACTCAAGATGAATTAGAAACATATGTAAGACCTGAACATATAAAACAGGTGGAAGAAAACAGGGAAAACTCTTTAATACATTGATCTAGTGTAAGTTTTTGTGGCTAAGGTCTCAAAAGCACAGACAACAAAAACAAAAATAAACAAATGATACTATGTTAAATGTCAAAGCTTCCTCACAGGAAAGAAAACATTCAAAAGCATAAAGAAACAACCTGTTGAATGGAAGAATATATTTGCAAATGATTCTTCAATAGAGGACTGATATTCAGAATATACAAGGAGTTCAAAATACTCAACAATTAAAACTACATATAATCCCATTAAAAAGTGAGCAAAAAACATTAATAGACATTTCTCAAAAAAAAGTCATATAAATGACCCACAGGTATGTGAAAAAATGCTCAACATTCTAATCATCATGATAATGCAATCAAAGCCACAATAACATATCATCTTACCCAAGTTAGAACAGCTATTATTAAAAAGACAAAAATAACAGATATTTGTGAGTATGTGAAGAAAAGGAAACTATTATACATTTTGGCAGAAATGTAAATTAGTGCAACCATTAGGGAAAAGAATATGGAAATTTCTCCAAAAACTAAAAATAGAACCACTGTACAATCCAGTAATCCCAGTACTAGATATCTATTGAAAGGAAAAGAGTTCAGGATATTAAAGGGATACCTGCACTCATGTGTTTGTCACAGCATTATTTACAATAACAAAGATATGGAATCAATTTAAGTGTCATTCAACAAACAAATAAAGAAAATGTGGTTTATATACACAATGAAATACTATTCAGCCATAGAAAATAAGGAACCCGTGTCATATAACTTTTGGCTTTTGGTCTGATGCCATCCTCTGTTTCATATTTGTTTTCTTTCTCTTCTTCAACTTGCTACTAAAATACTTCACTTAATCATAAGCTTTCTTACCTCAACAGCTGTCAAGTTCCTTGTATGTTGTATTGGGTATCTGTCTCTTGGGAATTAGTATGTCATTGTTATCTTTTATTTACTTGTTGTGTTGCCTATTCTATTGCAACTTTTTAAAGTCAGATAACTGTTTTATGTATCTTTGTATTCATAGTGCCTAACTTAGTAAGCCCAGTAAGATTGAATAAAAAATAAAAGAAGGAAAAGATGGCTAAGATAGGTCAATTATCATTAGACATTTTGATTATTAGACTTAATCTCATAGGCTATGTGGATCATCTCTGGTTTCTTGACCAAGATAAAGACAGCTACCATTTTGAAGTTCTTAATTTTATTTTGAATTTGTATATTATAAGTAAGATATGATAGGACAAGAGAGCATGGGCCAAGGGAGCAGGGTCATGGAGCTTAGGCTTATGTGTGGGCCCCCTTTTACAGTCTTCCTGCCCACCAAGAGGGATCTTTGGCTATCCACTACATAGCTCATGGGCCACTGGACCACTCTCCCAAACGCAAATCCCACTCAGTGACTACTGTATCCCTTTCTAACTGTTTTTCGGTACCCATTAACCATCCCCACCCTCCCACTACCCTTTCCAGACTCTGATAAGCATGCTTCTACTCTCTATCTCCATGAATTAAATTGTTTTGATTTTTAGATCCCACAAATAAGTAAGAACATGGGATGTTTGTCTTTCTGTAAGACCCCACCTCTTCATACTATCACCTTGGATTCTAAGTTGGAGGAAGACATACACTCAAATCATAGCAAATGACAACCAGATATATGAAATGGTGCTCCACATCACTAATCATCTGGAAAACGCAAATCAAAATCACAATGCTTTATCATCTCATACCTGGTAGGATGACTATTACCAAAAAACAAAAGATGGCAGTCGTTGGCAAGGATGTGGAGAAATTAAGCTAACATTTTTGTAACTAGTTTACAAAACCACCAAACTACTGTTTAGTCTCAAAGAAGAATTCATTCTGAATTTATAATTATTTATTTTGAAAATTAATGATTTTCTAAACAAATTTGACAAAAGTAAACCAAAGTTGAGGCATTAATTTTTGAGACAGAGTTACTTGTACATATATGTATTTGGCCTCTTCTGTATTCTGCAATTAAGGCAAAACATTGTTATTAAATTATGGTATATGATGTAATAACCTTATCTACTTAAAGACCATTTTTGCTATAAAATCTACAGAAAATTTTTTTTATAAATATACATATAAATACTTTTAAATAATGTTTTCTCTTCTGAAAAATAACCTGCAATAATGTTAGGGTAATTTTTTTTAAAAGAAGGTGCTCTCTAAAACAATTAGAATGTAGAATATGCCCAACATTCAGTTATGACTTACCATAGGTGATAGATTGTTACAATATTGGGCAGTGAATCATATCTCTTTGTGTCAACACCATTGTATAGCCTCATTGACTCCAGCTTAGTCATGTTACTTGCTTTGACTAATGGAACAGTATCATTTGTGTGTTGAGATTTATCCTTTGTTGTTTCCTAAGACCTCCTGCTGAGAAAGCTTTCACTAACTAATGCAATATAGGACCATGGACCATGCAGAATCAGTCTCAGCTAAGGTCAGCAATACCAATGATCCTCCAACCAATAGACCATACCTGTAACCAGTGGAACTTCTCAGCTGAGTCCAGTCCAAATTTCTGGTCCACAACATCACAACATCACAAACAAATTAAGTGTTCTTGTTTTAATCCACTAAGTTTTGGAGTAATTTGTTATGCAGAAGTAAATAACCAATACGCTCTATATTGTTTTCAATTATTTTTAAGAATGTATTATTGATATATCCTACCAAACTGACAAATATATCAGCTTTTGCTGTGGACCACAGCAGCATCTGGATTTAGTATTTCTCCGCAGGCTTATATGATCAAGGGGCAGTTTCTGTTGGAGTGACAGTTTATTGTCCCATGACCATTTCAAATTCTCCCTGCTGACAGCAACTGTAAGAGTTTTAATAATGATAATATTCATGATAATATGCATTTCTAGCTACTAGCAACAAAGTAGAGACAAGCCAATATGTTTCAAGTTAGCTGCTACAATAGCTTCTAGATGGTAAGAGTGATAAATACCTTAATAATTTAGATTGGAATGAGTCTCCTATTAGCGAAACTTATTAATAGTACTAAGAGCTCTAAGTTGCTCTGTTTTCCAATAACTCCCTTTGGAAATTGTGGTAATGTAGACTGAACCATTTTAGAAACATTAAGTGTTTTCACTTGACTAATGTTGGGCATTTTAGAAATATGCATATTTTATTGTTTTAAATAATTTGAAAGGTGAATCATGCAAAATTAAAGTTTCCTGACTTTTTCTGAGAAAAATGAATCGATGGAGCTATTGTAAGTTTAAATATTTGCAGAAATAACGTTTATTGACTTCAATTTATTGTATTTCTTGAAAAAAATTAGACTGTCTTAATTGTACAGTTCTTTCAGTCATTCTACTATTTGAGCACTGATCATGTGCATAACGTGATAGGGAGTGGTGGTGGCGTTGGAGAATTTTGATATGAAAGATATGGAAATGAGATACCAGACATATGTAAATAATTAATATTCAACAGAAGTTCAGAGCATTTGTAACAGAAATAAATTCAAAGTTTGCTGGAAGTAAACATTCGTAAGCTAAAAGTGTCTGATATGTGTAGATAAATAATTATCTCTAGATTTCAGTCAAAATGAACACAAAGTAACAAAGATACTCATTACCGTGAAACTTCTGAACAGAAATGGAAAATAAATAATAATTCAAAAACCAAAGTGGAAAGCACAATTTTCTACAAAGGTATACAAGTTATGTTGACCTCAGACTTCTCCACAACAGTTCTTTTTTTTTTTTAGACAGAGTTTCACTCTTGTTGCCCAGGCTGGAGAGCAATGGCGCGATCTCAGCTCACCACAATCTCAGCCTCCCAAGTCCAAGCAATTCTCCTGCCTCAGCCTCCTGAGTAGTTGGGATTACAGGCATGTGCCACCACACCCGGCTAGTTTTTTTTTTTGTATTTTTAGTAGAGAGGGGGTTTCTTCATGTTGGTTAGGCTGGTCTTGAACTCCCGACCTCAGGTGATCTCTGCCTGCCTCGGCCTCCCAAAGTGCTGAGATTACAGGCGTGAGCCACCGCGCCCTGTCTCCACAACAGTTCTGTGTAGATGTTTGTTTAGTCTGCTTTCCAGACAATTGGACAAAATACATATTGTGTGTGCCACAAAAGAACCCAATTCCAGGCACTGTGTGAGATCAAAGAATAGGGAAAACATGAGCCTTCCTTGGATTTATCTCAATATGATGAGAAAAAGACAGATATGAAAGTCACTGGATAGTCAAAATATAAGATAATAGTAAGTTTTATATAAAAGTAGTAAGGAAATACAGAGAAGATTAATTCCAAATGGTAGATTTTGCAATGATTCATGGAGAAATAACATTTTATCTTCCCTTCCCCCATCGCTCTTGATAAGGGGGAAGTCAAAGGGTATTCCTACTAGAGAGTATAGTTGGATGGCAGAATTGAGCTGGAAATTTCAAAGCTCGAAAGGACTGATAGTCCTATCAGACTGTGGGGAGTAGAAAAAGCTTCCCAAGCGGTGGGGAGGAGGTACTCACTGGGTTTCAAGCACACAAAGATGTTGAAACCACTAGGCTTCAGGGAAACTTCAGAGTTTAGATTGGTTAGTTCCCTCTTGCAGGCAAGCCACCTCCTTACTTACCCAAGTGTGCGTGCCCTTAAAATTAGCTTCCTTCCACAACCTGGTAAGGACAAAAATGAGATGCACTAACATAAAAACTGGAATTAAATGTTGAGCCATCTGAATGCTGTAGTAAAAGATTCACGATTCATTTTGTGAAAGGAATAATGGATATATTCAGAGCAGTTTCGATTACTTGTTAGAACAGATAAACTTATAAATAATGCAGAAAACAAACTGAAATGGGGAATGTGTTCACCAGAGAATTATTGGGAAGCAGGGCTGACAAATGTGTGATGGAGGTGCTGTTCTAATGGAATTATAGGGAAAGATATTTGAGAGAGATTATTTAAAGAGGTATAGATTGATTCCAGGTAATATTTGAAAATGTGTAAATGTATTCAACAAAATATGGATCAACATTTGTATCTTCTTTAATTTTTAATATAGTTTTAATTTCTACAACATCCCCTTGAGATTTTTTTTAATGTATGTGTATTTAAGAGATTTTAAAAATACAACTTTGGTCCAAAAATAACAAAATTATTTATAGAAAATCAAGCAAGTTAGTTCAGATCCAGAGCAAGAACATAAGATCCCCCACCTCTCCTAATCCTTTCATATATTTTCACTATCACAACTTCTATTTTCTATCAAATATCTTGTTCTTGTTGGGTGAACAAAATAGAAGAGCAATTTATTTATGAATTATTTCAGTATATTCTTAAACCCTACTTGTGAAGTTGCATAGTTACTAATATCAGAAACTGCTATAATTTTTAATAGTAGGAACATCCAGTAAAACAAAAATTGCTCAAAAGAGAAGTGTTGTATTTTTGTTGAAACCTATTTTGTCTTTGTTCTAGTAAATTAGGTGTTTCACTGGGAGCATGGTATATAGCCTGAATTTTCAAAGAGCTCTTGTTTTGCCTATGGAAGAAAAGATGACATATATCAAAATGAGCAGTTTGGAAAATGTTATTCTTAAAACAAAGAACCTACTCTAGCTACAGTTTATTATCTTCACTCCAATTCCCAAAAACCAGCCATAGTCACACAGCTTTAGTACATTAGCCCTGTGGCTGACAATATCTTTTCAGAAATGATGTCTCTACCTTAGTTTTTACAGCATTATTTTACTTACCAACTTATATTGATCTTGGTGACTCCAGTCATATGTTCCTATTACCACAATCCCTAAATAATATACTTTCCTCTTAAACCTAGCCTCCAAACAGTAACATTTCCTCTCTATATTGAAAAAGTCATGCTTTATCTTTAAGGTCTACTGTAAATTTCAAAACTTAAGACTCTCAGAAATCCTATGACCGAAGAGAGTTCCGTGCAGAAACTAGTCCTTGTGAAGGAAGTAACCGATGATTGTACAGTGATCTGAAAGTTTTATGTTAATAGAAAATAAAATGTGTAAACATATTTCCTGGAGAGTGCTATTATTTTTTGAGAATACCTTACCTCTTAGTTGCAAAAAAGTCTGGTAACTTTCAGCTTTAGATAAAATTCCCAGGTCTGGGGACATGAGCTCTGTAAGCCTTTAAAATATTTTTTCATTCTCAGTGAACTCTGTAGATTCCATTTAATAACAATTTACTTAATCGAAATAAGGCTCAATGAATTTACTTCTATACATCATTTGTCTCTTAAAAATATTATTTTCTTACTAATAACTTTAATAACATTTAACAAAAATTATTTAATGTATTTGATTAGAATATTTTTAAAAATTATTATTTCTCCAAATGTGAATGCTTTAAACACAGAAAATAATTCATATCATTTGGGAAATGTTATAAACAATTTCAACATAATTTTATTTAAAAGTATTTAAAGACAATTGAGGTGAAATATTATTTTTGTACCATAAAATGAATAATGCAATGAGCATATAGAGGATAAATGGTCTAAAGCGGTTCACAAACTGATATCATTTTGTAAAGTATTCAAATATAATGTATTTTATGAGTTTTATAACAATGATCTCAAATATTCTTGGTTTCTCCATGTTCAGATATCTCTCTTTAAAATACCTGATCAATTTTTTAGGGCTGAATATTTATTTATCCAATGAAAAAGATACTTAGAAAACTAACACAGTCTATTTAACTATAAACAAAAATTGAATAATTAATAAGATGTACACATAAGAAATTATAAGTATAGTTTTAGTGTCTCAAGATTCTGGTACTAACTTCCACTTTCTTTTCACAGGGCAATTAGCAAAGCTCTTTGCCCCTCATGATAGGTTAGTGTCTTGGCTATCATTTTTATTCAGATTCATTTTTCATGTCCTAATGTGACATAAACATTTCTAAATAAGGGTTTGCCTCTACATTTTTCCTAGTACATGTTAACACTCTAATTCCTTCACACATTCTGAAAATATCTGTCACTTATCATATGCAGGCTCTTTTCTGATTGCTAAGAATACAATATCAAATAAAATAAAACAAATTTCTATACTCATAGCACTTACATAAGACAACAAATCATGGTGGTTGAGATCATAGATTCTGGAGCCACTTGCCTGTGTTTAAGTCTCAGACCCTCTACAAATTTTAGATGTGTAACTTTCAGCAAGTTACTTAATATCTTTGTAGCTTAGTAATATCACTTGTAATATGACGATAATTGTACAGCCCTCATATGGTTGAATTAGTTATTCTAAATAAAATTCTTAGAACAATGTCTAGTACATGGTAACCCCCATATATATGTTACCTAATTTTAGGTATTTTTAGGAAAGACAGGCTATAGACAAATAAAAAACACTTGTATCTACTACAAGGAGTCAAAATTGTGGTTACCCTCTCTGATAAAGTGAAGAGGGTCAACCTGAAGAGTGTTACATGCAGAGGAAATAGTTAATACTAAGGTCTTTGAGGAAAAACAAAGAAGTTGAGAGTGAACAAGAGGAATGGCAGTTGGTAAGTTCCAAAAGTTAACATTCCCAGCCCCCTTCTCCTTCTTTTATTCCAGAGACTATGATTCAATAGCCACAGATATTACTTACTTTTTGCTCATCAGAACAAAACCATGAGTCTCTCAAAAGAATACCAGTAAAATCTTTGGCCAATGCAATGGATGACTATACTTATATCTATCACAATGCTTATTTCAGTGACTGGGCTTTTATCATTGTTGGAGAAAGAATGGAACTCAAAGAATCATGATGACAAAGTCATCTCCATGACTTTGTCTGGAGAAAATCATAATAAACATCTGCATTAGTCCTTTTTCATGCTGCTGATAAAGACACACACGAGACTGGGAATTTAAAAAAGAAAGAGGCTTAATTGGACTTACGATTGGGGAAGCCTCCCAATCATGGTAGAAGGCAACGAGGAGCAAGTCACGTGTTACATGGATGGCAGCAGGCAAAGAGAGAGAGAATTTGTGCAGGGAAACTCCTCTTTTTAAAACCATCAGATCTCATGAGACTCATTCATTATCAAGAGAACAGCAAAGGAAAGATCCTCCCCCATAATTCAATCACCTCCTACCAGGTTCCTCCCATGACACATGGGAATTGTGGGAGTTACAATTCAAGATGAAATTTGGGTGGGGACAGAGCCAAATCATATCAACATCACTGGGTTCAAGCTTTTCAATTGCCTCAAGTGAAAATATCACCAGATTGCTTATCTTAGCACATCCAGTCTGCCCTCATACTGTTTAGTGACCTAGGAAATCTATGGTTGATAATTTAAACTATTTTAAGTTTGCTAATGAATCACATCTGCATAGGGATGTCTTCTGTAATTTTAAATATTTTAAATAAAACTTCTCAAGTATCATCTCACATACTGGTGAAAAATTAATATTACCAAAAGCACAATTTAAACATATTTAGCATAGTTTTATCATCCACAGAATACAGTACAATCTTTTAGTCAAATTACTCAATCTTTCCACAGTTAAGCCAAGCCATTTATATAAATATGTCTGTGACTGTAGTCATTAATTAATTCAAACTGCCTAAAATTGGGCACTGTGTTTTCTGAACCTACCATTTATTGTTTGAAATTGGTGTCACCATTCACTAAATTATCTTTGTTTAGGACTGCCCCTTCCAAGGCCTGTAGCTTCCATCGTTCACAATGTGCATAGGAAATGTAATTTCCTCCAAGAATCTGCCACTGGCTCCTATTTGCCACAAATAACATGTTGTTTATAGATTTTGGTAACCCTCTATATGTACTTCTTATGTGAAACATCTCATAGATAGAAAAGATTGGTTAAAAAAATAGAAACATAGAATTATTTAATTGACTTTGAGTCTGAACTTCTCTTGTATAGCTGTTTGACTTCCATCAAATTATTCAATATTTAGGAGCTTCATTTTCTTCCCCTGTAAAATGTCTTAATGTTTGATGCTTAACACAGCTACTGGCACATTGCTGGTACTCGAGTAAGTGTTATCTTTAAAATTTGTACATTGTATATTCATATGTATACCTTATAGACACTCTCTCACTTATTTCTGAGCTCCATTAAAGCAAAGAAATAACTTGACATATTATTTTGTACTCTTAGCATTGCCAAGCTTTAAAACCTCATAAAGAAAAAATACATATATAAAGTATTTTTTGTTGTTTGGAATAATATATCTACAATTGGAATACCTATTTATTTTTCAGATATCTTGGCAGACTAATGGAGGAATGTTTTGGGTCATTTGGGCCCTTAAGCATAGATGAAATATCAGAGGTTGGGCATGTACCTGTGAACTCTGTGAATACAGCACATTTAGCATGATTTATATATCTCTCTCTATATATATATTTTTAATTTGGTAAAGACCCAATAAAATATGTTATTTCTAATGCATAGGAAGGAAACTGATAACATAATAGACACGTGCATGTACACATATATCTGTGTGCTTTATTATCATGTAGATCAAATCAGCTACCACAAAAAAGTGACTTTTATATTTTTATTGAATTATATTTTATTAAAGCTTTAACCAAATGCTAGAAAAATTTCCAGAATTTTAAGTAAACAAAAATAGTAACTGAAGTTCTTTACAAGCTATGTTAGCAAAAGAACAAAACCCTCTTCTAGCATGGTGAAAGCCTTTTTTTTTTTTTTTTTTGATTTTTTTCTTTTCTTTTTATTATACTTTAAGTTCTGGGATACATGTGCAGAATGTGCAGGTTTGGAACATAAGTATACACGTGCCATAGTGGTTTGCTGCACCCATCAATCGGTCATCTATATTAGGTATTTCTCCTAATGTTATCCCTCCCCTAGTTCCCTACCCACCAAAGGGCCCAGTGTGTGATGTTCCCCTCCCCGTGTCCATGTGTTCTCTTTTTTCAACTCCCACTTATGAGTGAGAACATGCAGTGTTTAGTTTTCTGCTCCTGTGTTAGCTTGCTGAGAATGATGGTTTCCAGCTTCATCCATGTCCCTGCAAAGGACATGAGCTCATCCTTTTTTATGGCTGCATAGTATTCCATGGTGTATATGTGCCACATTTTCTTTATCCAGTCTATCACTGATGGGCATTTGGGTTGATTCCAAGTCTTTGTTGCTGTGAACAGTGTTGCAGTAATCATACATGGATGTGTGTATTTGTAGAATGATTTATAATCCTTTGGGTATATACCCAGTGATGGGATTGCTGGATCAAATGGTATTTCTGGTTCTAGATCCTTGAGGAATTGCCACACTGTCTTCCACAATGGTTGACCTAATTTACACTCCCACCAACAGTGTAAAAGCCTTCCTATTTGTCCACATCCTCTCCAGCATCTGTTGTTTCCTGACTTTTTAATGATCGCCATTTTAACTGGCGTGAGATAGTATCTCACTGTGGTTTTGATTTGCATTTCTCTAATGACCAGTGATGATGAGCTTTTTTTCATGTTTGTTGGCCACATAAATGTCTTCTTTTGATAAGTGCCTGTTTATATCCTTTGCCTACTTTTTGATGGGGTTGTTTGTTTTTTTTTCTTGTAAATTTGTTTAGGTTCTTTGTAGATTCTGGATATTAGCCCTTCGGCAGATGAGTAGATTGCAAAAATGTTCTCCCATTCTGTACGTTGTCTGTTCACTCTGATGATAGTTTCTTTTACTGTTTAGAAACTCTTTAGTTTAATTATATCCCATTTGTCAATTTTTTTTATTTCATATGTAACTAACCTGCACAATGTGCACATGTACCCTAAAACTTAAAGTATAATAATAATAAAAAAAAAGAAAATTAAAAAAAAAAAAGAAAGCCTTTCTTGTAAGGTATAGTTTATCCACATCCAGTGACAAAATAGGCACACTTTCAATAGCCTTTCTTTGCCTTTGGTCTTAACCCAGGTCTGAAAGGAATTTAATCTCATTGTCAGAGTTTACTTCAAATGACTTTGCTGTAGTAGGTTTAGAATGGCTTAGGATCATCATTTGTTTCCATGATTATCACTTCACCTAAGCTAGCAATTACAACTCCCGTAACAACATAATGGAACACAATACAATGTATGGGAAATTAGCATTATCTCTGAAATTGAAGTATTAGCAGAAGACAATATACATATGTGTATTGTGGAAGGATTTTAGTCCAATGTTCTTGGTAGCATCCACTTTATGTTAATATAATTTATTGTTTGCAACTATTTTCTCGATAAAGCTGTTCCCTTGGCCATGGCCGCACATATTTGGAAGAAGCAATGCTCCTAGAGGATCATGTTCTATCTTAGTCCTCTATAATAGGTATGAAAATATGGCCTAAATTATATGCTCAGGATTTTAAACCACTCAGGCAGACCAAGTGAAAGTAAGATTTTGTAGTTAAAGATAATTTACCACACTGACTCTTTCTTTTACTCCCTAGTGTAATTTTGTTTTATAAGACTGTGTATATCTTGCAGGCAGATATTAAGTTTATTTAAATTAATGCATGTAGATATCAATAGGCATCTATAGAATGTAAGACTAGACACTGGAGCAGATGACAGCGGTAAATGAAGGCCAAACCAATACAAAGATAGGTAGCTTAGCACATATTTAAAGCATTTCTTATAGCTACAGATTTTTCTTTAAAAACATTAAATAGATTTATTTACACATAAGATTGCAATTGTCTGAATTCCTTGAAAGACCACTTATTAGGTTGACTATTCTTTCTTTATTTCTTTTTTCAGGTTTATTGTGGTATAATTGACAAAAATTGTATATATTAAAGGAATTCAACTTGATGTTTTGATATACAAGTACATTGTGAAATGATCTAGGTTGGCCTTTTACAATCCTTTTTATAGAAGTATTTTACCTATACACACACACACACACACACATACTCTCATATGCACATCATTTAATTAAAATTTAATCATTTAGCTTATAAAATAGAGGCATCTTTGGGAATTCAATAAGTATGAAACTATAACATCCTGTCTAGTAACTCTTCTGAGAAAGGAACTATGATAGTAAATCAGGAGATGTTAGTGAATATTAACCCTCAACGAGAAATGTCAGCCCCATTCCAAAAGGCTTCACAGTTGTGCTACAAAATGTTCAAAGCATATATGCCACATTCTAAAAAACTTTTAAGATGTTTAACAGATGGTATAAACATCTATTTATTATCTCCAAATCTATACTCTCTAAATCAGAATTCTTTTCCTTCAGACTAATAGGTTATTATTTAATAAATAGGACTTCCAACATTATATAATGAAAATTGATTTTACATTTTATCATAAATTCCATTGTCAATAGATGGCAATAAAATTCTTTGCAGCGATTTTTCCCTTCTCTTCAGTTACCAGTTCCTGATAAAAATTTCATAAATCAGTGAGGTTATTTATATCTGAAAAGTTCTGTATTTCTACCATTATAATTTTTCATGTCAATATAGGCCAGCTATGGGGGAGATATAGCTTGACATTGCTTTATTAATTCTGACACTTTCCAATGGATTGAAGTAGTTTTTATCCTGTTTATATATTGAGGCATGTTATTGGCATTCAGATGCTGTTTCTCCATCAACTAATCCACTTCAAAATATTTGCATGAAATCAAATTTGCTTACCAGTCAGCAACATATAAAATATAATTTACAGACTTGGGTTCACATTAGTAAAGTTTAGATACTTAGAGCATAGAATTATCAGTCAGTCTCATTACCAAGGGAAGACAGGTAGTGAATTCCACAGGTGCTGTCACTTTGCCTGTCCTGAGTTGATTTATACAGTGTATATTTCAAGTGTTTAAAAATATGTCAAAGTTGGAGTTTTACTGATAAGGTTGGTAATATTAAGATTTGAAATTTGTCATTTGTACAATTTCATGAAGTGACAGTCTCTTTTTCTCTTATGAAATTTACAAAGTAAAATTTAGCCCAATTGCATTTGAACAAATTTGAGGCTACACATACATTATCTAAATAAAGCATATTAAATTACTGCAAATGTTTACATATTAAAACATGTTTGAATTATGTAGGCAATTTAGGTCATTACAATATCTATCTATATTGTAGTGGGATTTTTATGTAAACAATTGCCTAGGTTGACCATTGTGCTATGGGGAGACATTTAAAAAATGTCCAATAATACCTCATCCTGTGACAATACAGTTCTGAGTTATTTAGACCATTAATTTAACATGCTTCTTAAAACAAAGCTATGAGGTAGGTACTATAATTATTCTGTTTTAGAGATGAGAGTACTGAGTTACAGAAATTACATAATTTACACAGGCTGACAAAAAAAGTAAGGGAGGACGCCAGGATTAAAGTGCAAGCATTGTCTAACTTTGATTGTTCACAACACCGCATGACATGGTGCTCAACAGGAACAGAACCTGAGCTGCTCTGAGGGCTGGAGGGGAGATGAGATCCTGAAGATGGGGGTTGAGTAATGCTATAATAGTATGTTTCTAATGGGAGAAATGTGTTCTCAGTGGAGAACTAAGGTAAAAAACTTTCTAGCATTTCCATGTAAAAGCAAAACTACATCTTACAGGCATTCAGAGAAGCTATACACGGTTTATATGTAACAGAGCTGGCAGTCAAAATTATATGGAACCCATTGGAATGAAGGAATACTTTATTAGCTATCTAGCTAATAAAATTGTAAGTAATGTGATCTTCAAACAAAAAATAATAAGACTGGATTTTGGGGATTGAATGTTAGGAAGAGACCAACTATTCATCCCAGCCTATCAGAAAAGAAGGAGAAAGTAAAGCTATCTGTAGATCATGCAAGGAGAAATAAATTATTTGTCCACCAAAATACTACTGACTTTTCCTATCCAGGGGAAGATTTTCTTATTTTGTTTGTTTTATTTTATTTTTTTCTTAAGGAAAAGAGTCAAAATTTGCATTGGACTCTCACATATGATGTTTGTGGTTTGCTGTATTTTTTAGCATAAGTTTAGTAAAATTGTAGGGTAATTCTCCAAATTTAGGGTAATTCTCCAAATGAACTTTGTTATTCTTAAATAACTCTTCTATGTTTTGTAAAAGACTGTATAAATTAATTGGTCAAGACAAATAAACGTTATTAAGCATTTCTTGACTATTACATATAGGGAGAATTTTGTCTTATACATCTACTAAAGGAAAACAAAAACCTTTGTAATATATACAAGCAATTTTAAAATTTTGGAACAAATTCGGAAAAGATTTCTGACCTCAAAGATTCAGGAGCATCATTGATTTTAAAATGGTAAAGTATAAACGTTATTGGATCTATAATTCTTAAGAACAGGTAGCTGAAATTGCGGACTCTGTCCACGTCGTAGATGTAACCAAGGACATAACATGCATGTAATTTGCATATTCATCAATTTTCTATCACTGCAAATCTCAGAGAAAACTCTCGTTGTCTTAAAATTGATGAGTTTTGCTTTTGGCAGTTAAAAAAATGCAGAAAGCAGAAGAATGAGGACTCATTTTTGTCTAGTTTCATGTGTAGCCACAGGAACAAAGAGCAAAACAAAGTATACAATCATTTGTACATAGCAAACAAACATTACAGCATTGTTGCAATTTTGCGTAGGAAGGAAGAACAACATTTTTGATGCAAATTGGAAAAAATTTTAACTTTAGCATTATTGTGGTAGGGAAACATACTGTACAAAATAGTTTTCATTTAATTCTTAGATGTTTTAAAACTACATTTCTACCACTACATATGCATATTTTAGTGACTGTTTTTCTCCAATACAGATAAAATCTGTTAATCTGCTTTGTATTATGTTAAGTAATGATTAGATAGTTTTCATATATTGATGAGAAAAAAGGTTAAGTTTTTAAATTCTTCTTAGGTGATTATTATTTCCTAGTTTGGACTGAAAATGAAAGTCTCCATTAAGATGCTAACTCAAAAGATTAATTGTATTTCTCTGAAAGTAACACAGTAAACAGATGCTTGTAATTATAATGCACTCTATGTAGAATCCAAAAAAAACTACAATACAAAAATGTGCTGAAACTAAGATAAATTAATAATTGCTTTTAATAAATCCAATATATTTATTTACAAATTATTTCTATAGTGAATATCTATTACCTGAGTGCTTTATTTTAAGATAATTTTAAAATATATTCATTATTTAGCTTATATGCATATAATATAGAAGTATAGACATACAAGTAAAAACACATGCATACATTCATTCATTTCTATAATTTCAGCTCCTACTAATTCCTACTTACCTTGCTGTCAGTTCTAGAGACAGCTTGAAACTCAGTTGTTGGGAAGAACTAACAATGATATGCCATATTTAAATTATGAACATTAGTAATAAATAGTTTGATTATATTCAAATCAGATATTTTTTGTCTCTTTAAACTTATTAATTTGGATTTAAAAAAAATGTTTAATTATCAACCTGTCCTAGTTTCAGCATGTCTTTTCAGTGCAGGGCAACATTAGTGTTTAAAATTTATATATGATGGATCATTTAAAAATATATCCACTTGATGTTGATATGAATACCAAACTTAACATGAATATATTTTGGCCAGTCTTGCAAATGTAACAAAGTTCTCCAAGCGGAATTAAATGAAAGGATAAAAACTTCAAATAATTTTATTAGACAGTGTCAAATTGTCACTCAAAAATTTTAAGTCTATTCAGGGGAGCATTATTTGACATGTTTCATGTAACGTAATTTAAACTAGATTAAGCAGACATTTTGAGACTTTAATTGATTTATATTAAAGACATAATCTCTAAAATGTAAAAAAAGGAAGTAAAATTTGTGAAAAGCAGAAGAAAAATCAAAAGAGACTGAAGTATAAGGAAACAGAGTGATAACGTGACCAAGTTACCATTTCAGATCACTAAGAAAATGATGCTTTATTAAACACTTAAAGGACTAATTAAACTAAGCAGTAAAATTTTACCCTTGTGTCAAATTCTAGTTGATTCAAATGTATGAATCATAAAACTAAAATATAAAGAATCTAAAAACAGAATGAGTAAAAACTAAAAAAAATGTTTTATTAATAAAAACGTTTTCACCATGAGCTCTAATGGGAAATTTATCTGATAAAATATAAATACATGAACATATAAATTTTGAGGGGACCCAAACATTAATACCAAAGCAATACTTTTCTTTAAAAATGTCAAACAGTAGTAATTATGCAAATCGAATGTGTAGTGTATGCCTCGCATATCGAATTAAGTGAGATAAGAAAGATATCTCCTCTAATACTGCAGGCTTCCTTATTGAAGGAAATGGATGGGGCTATTGTTGGATATAGTATAGTGAGTTAAGAACAAATATGGATAAATTAAAAAAAATACAAGAAAGTCAGGTATATCATTTTGCAGGGTCAGAAAATATTTCCAGGTGTGTGTATCATTAAGCCTGAGTTTACAATGTAATTAGGATTTAATAGTGTAAAATAAGTGAAGAAGATTATTTTAGACTAAAGATACAGCACATGCACAGACCCTGAAAACAAACATTAACAAAAATTATAAGTTTATATCTATCTATCTATCTATCTATCTATCTATCTATCTATCTATCTATTCACTCTTCCATGTATCTATCACGCATCTGTATTTTAGTTAGGCAATTCTTTGAAATGATACCTAATTATTATCACTCTTTTCTGATATTCCCCTTATAATTCTATCTACATTTTATCAATGAACTTTGCAATCTCATTTTCATCTAGACTCTTTAAATTTCCATATACAAGGTAATTTATACTTGGTCCTTTTATTTTATATTTTTATTATTTTATCTTTCTTG
Source organism: Homo sapiens (assembly GCF_000001405.40). Classification (NCBI taxonomy): domain Eukaryota; kingdom Metazoa; phylum Chordata; class Mammalia; order Primates; family Hominidae; genus Homo; species Homo sapiens. The sequence goes on from NC_000003.12 coordinate 163,986,572, forward strand.
GCAATCTCATCTATTGTCTTTGACTCTCTTTGCCATACAGGCACTTCTTAAATATCTTTTAGCCAAAATCTTTGTTCTGTTCATCAACCCCCTACCCAAGTATCTAAGAAATATCACAGGTACTTCAAATCAAGTTCACATCACAATAAACTCATCACTCTCTTCCCCTGCCATGGTGCTTTCAGCCTGTTCTTGTCTCAGGAATAGCATCACAACTTCAAGCCTGATTGCACACAATTTTCTTGACTCTTTACATTTCCTCACTCACGTAATGAATCAATCATTACTTCTACAGATTTTATTCCTAAAATCTTTTTCAAATGTTCTTATTGTCTCTATTATCTCCACTATTATTACAGCATTGTCTACTTCTTTTCCTGTTTGGCCCCACTTCTGCCATTCTTCATGTACCACCAGAGGAATCTACAGCCGGATATAAATCGCATACTATTACTCTCTGCGGAAAAACCTTTAATGACCACCAAATTACATCATAATAATGTCTCCCAAATATTTTTTCAATGTGTTTTCAAACAATGTAACATGCAGAAATAAAAGAACATGAACCATAAATACCTAATGTAATAAACAATTAGAAAAAAAGCAACCACCTGATCACTCTCTAAGTCAAGATCATAAAATTGCCACAATCTAAGAAGCTCCTGGATTGTTTTTTGTTTGTTTTGTTTGTTTTAAAAAAATAAACCCCCCTTCCAAAAATATTGGAATAATATTTGTTTTCTTTCATAATATCATCTATGTATACAACTCTAAATAATAATATCTAGTGTTACCTGATTACAAACTTAGATCCTTTAACAACCATGGTAGAAATTCTTCATAATATCATTTTACCTCCTTAGTCCTTACTGTCCTCCTTGAAACAAAGAAGGTGGAAAAAACTAGTGTCTAGTAGTATAATTATTAAATTATTTTTTTTCTACAATGAGCCAGTGGTTCCTTGAGCTAAGCTGCTTTTTATAGATATTGCCCAGTGTATATTCCTAATCACTGACTTCTTCATTCATACCATACTCAAAACATTTTTTTTTTTTTTTGACAGTGAGGTGTTTCCCAGCTAGGGAAGGCTAGCTGTTTTTAAAATTTTTTCCTGTAGTATTAACTTTCCCAGAAGTGCTTACAATTCTCACATTAAATTGTCAGACATAGATTAGTTTTCTCTGAAATCTTTCGCTTCTAGAGTTCAATTGACACTGAATAAGAAGAGAACAACCAAGCGGTGAGGCTATTTGCTGAATAAATGAAGGTGTCTCCTCACAAAGTAAAATTCTTAGTCTTTTTGTAGTGATTTTCACTCAGTCACAGGAATAGTCATAGCTTTGACTTCTTGCACCAACCCCATTGTCCATTCTATCCCCTTTCGTGTTTAGTTGTGAACTAAACCAAGGGACCGCTCCATAAATAATCTGGTCCTAAATAGGCACACTGGTTGTCCCCCAACTATTTGCTTTTATAGAACATGTAGGAGATTTGTTCTCAAACTTAGGTTTTTGAAACAATGTAATTTTAAGTAAAATGTGTTCCTAACAAATATGTTCTACACACATCTAAAACATGTAAAGGCAGTCTGCCATCAGATGTTATACGAAGAAAAGGAATGCTAAATTTCAATTATCTCTATTACATTAGATTCACACCAGATGTGGCTTTCAGACATCTAGTATCTATTGATTATTCACTTAAGTTGTAACTAAATAGGTGGCTACGATTCAGAATCTATTAACCAGATGTTTACTAATAATGATTTCTTATTGTGTTCCAAAGTAATTATTATTTTTAAAATTTTTATCTTTGGTGTATTTGTAACTATCACGTTTGAGCATAATTTTCTTCTTGAAGTTCACTTCTTTCATGAGTTCTTTGACAAAAAAATTCCTTAAATTTTATGTTTATTCTAATAATTTTTGTGTTTCTGAGAGAGCCAAGTAAAAAGGGGAAGGTCCCTGGAGAATCTCCAACTGGTCTGTGCACTGGGAGAAGGAGGTGGAACCACAGAAGTTCATTCATGCCATTTTCAAGGGGAAGAAGTCTGGTCTCTCCTGTTCCTGGGTAGTAACTAGGGATTCAATCTGTGAGGGCAGAAGCCTGCTAGCAGGACTCTCTCTTTGCTAGGATTCCGTTTCCCTTTCCCCTCCAATAAACCCTGCCTTTCTCACCCTTCTTCAAAGTGTCTGTGAGCCTCATCTTTCTTGGTTGTGTGACAAGAACCCGGATTTTCCTACAACATTTCTTCTTATTTGTCCTCCATTATAAGAATTTCATCATCAAAAGGACTTAATATATGCATTCTATAATGAGTTTTGTCAAATCACTTATTTTTCCTCATTGACATATAAGGATCATATGTAAATTAAAAAGATTTAGCTATTGAAGTTCTTCTTCTTCTTCTTTTTTTTTTTTTTTAAGACAGTCTTGCTCTGTAGCCCAGGCTGGAAGTGCAGTGGCGCGATCTCGGCTCACTACCACCTCCGCCTCCCAGGTCCCGGTTCAAGCAATTCTCCTGCCTCAGCCTCCCGAGAAGCTGGGATTATAGGCATGTGTATTTTTAGTAGAGATGGGGTTTCACCATGTTGGCCAGGCGGATCTTGAACTTCTGACCTCGTGATCCATCCACTTCGGCCTTCCAAAATGCTGGGATTACAGGTGTGAGCCACTGCACTCGGCCTTGTTAAGGTTCTTTTATTTGTTTTTTTTTTTTTTTTTTATTATACTTTAATTTCTAGGTTACATATGCACAACGTGCAGGTTTGTTACATATGTATACATGTGCCATGTTGGTGTGCTGCACCCATTAACTCTTCATTTACATTAGGTATACCTCCTCATGCTTTCCCTCCCCCCTTTCCCCACCCCACGACAGGCCCCGGTGTGTGATGTTTCCCTTCCTGTGTCCACGTGTTCTCATTGTTCAATTCCCACATATAAGTGAGAACATGCAGTGTTTGGTTTTTGTTCTTGCGACAGTTTGCTGAGAATGGTGGTTTCTAGCTTCATCCATGTTCCTACAAAGGACATGAACTCATCATTTTTTATGGCTGCATAGTATTCCATGGTGTATATGTGCCACATTTTTTTAATCCAGTCTATCATTGATGGACATTTGGGTTGGTTCCAAGTCTTTGCTATTGTAAGTAGTGCTGCAATAAACATACGTGTGCATGTGCCTTTATAGCAGCATGATTTATAATCCTTTGGGTATATACCCAGTAATGGGATGGCTGGGTAAAATGGTATTTCTAGTTCTAGATCCTTGAGGAATCACCACACTGTCTTCCACAATGGTTGAACCAGTTTATAGTCCCACCAACAGTGTAAAAGTGTTCCTATTTCTCCACATCCTCTCCGGCACCTGTTGTTTCCTCACTTTTTAATGATCACCATTCTAACTGTTGTGAGATGGTATCTCATTGTGGTTTTGATTTGCATTTCTCTGATGGCCAGTGATGATGAGCATTTTTTCATGTGTCTGTTGGCTGCATGAATGTCTTATTTTGAGAAGTGTCTGTTCATATCCTTCACCCACTTGTTGATGGGGTTGTTTTTTTCTTGTAAATTTGTTTGAGTTCTTTGTAGATTCTGGATATTAGCCCTTTGTCAGATGAATAGATTGCAAAAATTTTCTCCCATTCTGTAGGTTGCCTGTTCACTCTGATGGTAGTTTCTTTTGCTGTGCAGAAGCTCCTTAGTTTAATTAGATCCCATTTGTCAATTTTGGCTTTTGTTGTCATTGCTTTTGGTGTTTTAGACATAAAGTCCTTGCCCATGCCTATGTCCTGAATGGTATTGCCTAGGTTTTCTTCTAGGGTTTTTATGGTTTTAGGTCTAACATTTAAGTCTTCAATCCATCTTGAATTAATTTTTGTATAAGGTGTAAGGAAGGGATCCAGTTTCAACTTTCTACATATGGCCAGCCAGTTTTCCCAGCACCATTTATTAAATAGGGAATCCTTTCCCCATTGCTTATTTTTGTCAGGTCTGTCAAAGATCAGATGGTTGTAGATGTGTGGTATTATTTCTGAGGGGTCTGTTCTGTTCCATTGATCTATGTCTCTGTTTTGGTACCAGTACCATGCTGTTTTGGTTACTGTAGCCTTGTAGTATAGTTTGAAGTCAGGTAGTGTGATGCCTCCAGCTTTGTTCTTTTGGCTTAGGATCGTCTTGGAAATGCGGGCTCTTTTTTGGTTCCATATGAACTTTAAAGTAGTTTTTTCCAATTCTGTGAAGAAAGTCATTGGTAGCTTGGTGGGGATGGCATTGAATCTATAAATTACCTTGGGCAGTATGGCCATTTTTATGATATTGATTCTTCCTATCCATGAGCATGGAATGTTCTTCCATTTGTTTGTATTCTCTTTTATTTCATTGAGCAGTGGTTTGTAAGTTCTCCTTGAAGAGGTCCTTCACATCCCCTGTAAGTTGGATTCCTAGGTATTTTATTCTCTTTGAAACAATTGTGAATGGGAGTTCACTCATGATTTGGCTCTCTGTTTGTCTGTTATTGGTGTATAAGAATGCTTGTGATTTTTGTACATTGATTTTGTATTCTGAGACTGCTGAAGTTGCTTATCAGCTTAAGGAGATTTTGGGCTGAGACGATGGGGTTTTCTAAATATACAATCATGTTATCTCTTAGTAACTTGAGCAAAAAACAAAAATTCACAGAATGTTATGTATTGCAAAAATCTCATGACAAAAAATCAGAAACAGGGGTGCTAGGAAGTCAGAATCACAGCCAACGCCCTACCTCAGGGGCTGCTTGATCATTGGTACCATAGCTGCTGCCTCTGGATACTGGACAGCAATTTTGTCTTTGGAGTAATTAATACATTGTGCTCTTCTTTTGAGAAGTATAGGTTCATATCCTTTGCCCACTTTTTAATGAAGTTATTTGGTTTTTTGCTAATTCAATTATTTAAGTTCCTTATAGATTCTGTATATTAGATCTTTATCAGATTCATAGTTTATGAATATTTTCTCCCAGTTTGTGGGGTGACTATTCACTCTTTTGATAGTTTCTTTTTCTGTGGAGAAGCTCTTTAATTAGGTCTCACTTGTAAATTTTGTTTTTTTTGCAGTTGGTTTTGGGGACTTAGCCAGAAATTATTTCCAAGGCCAATATCCAGAATGGTGTTTCCTAGATTTTCTTCTAGGATTTTTATAGTTTTAGGTCTTATATTTAAATCTTTATCTTGATTAATTTTTGTATATGGGGAAAAATAGAAGTACAATTTCATTCTTTGCCATATGTCTAGCCAGTTATACCAGTACCATTATTTATAGAATAAGGAGTTCTTTCCACATTGCTTACTTTTGTCAACTTTGTGGAAGATCAAATAATTCTCTAGTTTATTCCATTGGTTGATATGCCTTTTTTTTGCACCAGTACTATGCTGTTTTGGTTACTGTAGCATTATGGAATAGTTTGAAGTCAGATAATGTTATTCCTCTGGCTTTATTCTTTTTGCTTAGGAGTGTTTGGGCTATTCAGTCTCCTTTTTGGTTCTATATTAATTTTAGAATAGTTTTTTTCTAATTCTGTGAAAAATGAAACTGTCAGTTTGATAGAAATAGCACTGACTCTGTAGGTTGCTTCGGGCAGTATGACCATTTTCATGATATTGATTCTTCTGATTTATGAATATAAAATGCTTTTTCATTTGTGTCATCTATGATTTCTTTTAGCAGTGTTTTGTACTTCTCCTTGTAGAGATCTCTTATCTTCTTGGTAAGCCATATTCCTAGGTATTTTTATGGTTCTCATAAATGGGTCTGCATTCCTGATTTGGCTCTCAGCTTGAATGTTATTGATGTAAAGAAATGCTACTGATTTTTGTACATTGATTTTATATTCTGGAACTTTATTAAAGTTGTCAGTTATAGGAATCTTTTGGTAGAGTCTTTAGGATTTCCCAGGTATAGAAACATCATTTGACAAGAGAGATAATTTGATTTATTTTCCTATTTTGATGCCTTTTATTTCTTTATCTTGCCTGATTGCTCTGGTTAGGACTTCCATAGAACAATTCACAATAGCAAAGACATAGGATCAATGTAGGTTGTAGGCATCCATTAATGGTGGATTGGATAAAGAAAATGTTATACATATACACTGTGGAATCCTATGCAGCCATTAAAAGAAATAAAATTATCTCCTTTGCAACAACATAAATGGAGCTGGAGGTCATTATCCTAAGCTAATTAATGCAGGAACAGAAAATTAAATGCCACACATTCTCACTTATAGGTACAAATAGAAATAAAGATGGGGAAAATAAACACTGAGGACTACTAGAGGAGACAGAGAGGGAGGAAGGTAAGGACTGAAAAACTCCCTATTGTGTACTATGCTCACTACCTGGGTGATGGGACCATTTGTATTCTAAACTTCAGCACCATGCAATAGAACCATGGAACAAACCTGCACATGTACCTTCTGAATCTAAAATAAAAGTTGAAATTATTTTTAAAAAGTTATCTTCTGTGTTACTTGTTCCAAGTTCAAAGCTTCAGGTATAAGCATCCAGTTGACTGGGCTACAGTTGTATGCCCAAGATTAAACTAAAGGATTATAGAAAGAGCAATCAACTGGACTTTTAGCATCTATATTGTGAGTTAGGATTCTCTAAATACACATGGCTTCCCTCCTTACTTCATTCAGGCCTCTATATAAGATCAGTTTATCAGAGGAATATTCCCTGTTTACCTCTCTTAAAATAGCATCTAGCTGCCTCCTACCTACCCGTTAGTCTCTATTACTTTATATGTTTTTCATAAATGTTCCATTACTCTTTACCATCTGATGTATTACATATTTACATAATTCATTCTGTGAATATTTATAGTTTCTTTTCCACCACCATTAATATAAACCTTCTCTTCACCATCCCCCCCACTTTATTTCTAAAAGCTGCAAAAATGTTTGGCATGAAGTTAGCACACAATATTTTCTGAATTAATGGATACTATCAGAGTCCCTATACTTACAAAGAAAGGTTGACATAGTTTGAATATTTGTCCTCACCCAAATCTCATGTTGAAATGTAATCACTGTTGGCAGTGGCGCCTGGTGGGGCGTGTTCGGATCATGGTGGCAAATCCCTGATGAATGGTGTTGTCCGTCCCCTTGGTGATAAGTGAGCTCCTGCTCTGAGTTTACATGAGATCTGGTCATTTAAAAGTGTGTAGCACTTACCCCCTGCTCCCACTCTCTCTCTTGCTCCTACTCCTATTATGTGAGACACCAGCTCCCATTATGCTTTCCACCATGATTGTAAGCCTCCTGACACCTTCCCAGAAGCATATGTTGCTGTATTTCCTTTACAGCCTACAGAATCCTAAACCAATTAAACCTCCTATAAATTACCCACCCACTGGCATTTATTTATAGCAACACAAGAATGGCCTAACACAATAGCTGAAAGTGAAAAATGTCCAGTACAGATGCCTACGCCTTCTACACTTTGGTTTCTCAGGATGTACATACAACTTGCCTCCCTCTTTATGTTTTTGGATTGTCAACATATAATTTGTCTTATCCTTACATATTTGAAAAACTATAATCCAAAATGACTTTGTTTATTATAACTCAACTGCCTTTATAACTGTGTATTATTAATGAACTGCTAACAGTCATAAGTAACCTCTTAATCCAAGTGACTTAATACAAGAGGAGCTTATTTGTCCATTAAATTACAGATCCTTGTGTGTTGATTGGAAGATGGCATAGGCAGGCATTCAGAAATCCAAGCTTCTTTCATTTAAAAGCTTTTCCTTCAGCTAGAAGCTCAAAGTCTATCACTGAATCAACAGACAAAGCAAGTGTTGGAGAAACTCATAAAAGGGTATTTTCATTTGTTTTTGTTTTCATTTTAATTCAGTGTTGGCCATGGCTTAAGTCACTAGGGCCAAGATTCAAATCTGAAACTTGTGTTAGTAAATGGGGTAAAAATATTGGAGTTGTTTTTACTTTAATAAATAGTGAAAGCCAATTTTGAATAATTAAACTTTTCATTGACTTGAAATGTCATTATCATATGTCATTATCATATATTTTATGTGTTAAAGGCTCTACTTCCTAATTTGATTTTTCTTTGTTCATTGTTCTTTCAAGTATTTATTTTCAACTATTCAAGTGTCACAATACGGTTATTGATTATTTGTGTGTTTGAGACAGGGTCTTACTTTGTTGCCTAGGCTGGAGTGCAGTGGCACGCTCATGGCTCACCGCAGCCTCAACCTCCAGGATCAAGTGATACTCCCACCTCAGCTTCCCAAGTACCTGGGACTACAGGCATGTGCCACCACACCTGGCTAATTTTTTGTATTTTTTGTAGAGACAGGGTTTCACCATGTTACCCAGGCTGGTCTCAAACTCCTGGACTCAAGCAGTCCTCCTGCCTCAGCCTCCCAAAGTGCTGGGATTACAGGCATGAGCCCCTGTACCCAGCTCCATAATTAAGTTTTATGATACATTTTAATAATGAATAAGGTGTTCAGTGGGTCCTCTTTTGATCAAAACAATAATTTAATTGGTGAAAATTCCTTTTAAAAAATTAAATTCTCTGGAAATTATCCAAGGGGCATATGGTAAATGGAGAATCCTTCATTTAAGAAAATATACTTAATATTGCTAACAATAGCTAGATTCTGTGGTATTTGAGTCACAACCTGATACCTTACTTATCTTAAATAACTTCTCGCTACAAGTTATCATAGACTGAGGCACTTAAACAAGAAACACTCATTTCTCAAATTTCTGAAGCCTGGTAAGTGGAAGGTCAAGGTTTCAGCATATCTGACGTCTGGTTTGCAGATGGCTGTCTTATATTCTCGCATGGTAGAGAGCAAAAGCAAGATCCTGTGTCTTTTTCTTTCTCTCTCTCTTTTTTTTTTTTTTTTTTTTTTTTTTTTTTTTTTTAAATTCAGGGCTTTAATCTCTCATTCTCCACCCTTATCACCTTATTAACTTTCAAAGGCTCCACTTCCAAATATCATGTTGGGGATTAGGCTTTAACATACGAATTTGGAAGAAACACAAACTTTCAGTCCATAGTATTACTCCTCCCAGCCCCATTAGCTTCTTTGAGCAAATGCAGCCAAGTAAACAAAGACTTTCTCTCTTCCCAGTTCCAATGCCAGAGCTAAAGATTCTCTTGGGAGAAGCATATCACTAGTGGTATCTCTCATCCTCCTCAACGTTGTGTCGGGACATAGGCACAATGTTAAAGTAAATTAAAATCGAGACCATGTCTGAAGAATAACTGAGCAGGCAGAGCCAGTTAGATCTCATAAGTGACCTGTGTTAGTCAGGGTTCTCTAAAGGGACAGAACTAATAGGATAGATATATATACAAAGAGGAGTAGGCCGGGCGTGGTGGCTCACGCCTGTAATTTCAGGACTTTGGGAGGCCGAGGTGGGCGGATTGCCTGAGGTCGGGAGTTCAAGACCAGCCTGACCAACATGGTGAAACCCCATCTCTATTAAAAATACAAAATTAGCCAGGCATGGTGGCGTGCGCCTGTAGTCCCAGCTACTCAGTAGGCTGAGGCAGGAGAATCGCTTGAACACAGGAGGCGGAGGTTGCGATGAGCCGAGATCGCGCCATTGTACTCCAGTCTAGGCAACAAGAGTGAAACTCCATCTCTCAAAAAAAAAAAAAAAAAAAAAGGAGTTTATTAAGTATTAACTCACATGATCACAAAGCCCCTCAATAGGCCATCTGGAAGTTAAGGAGCAAGGACAGCCAGTCCAGGTGCAACGGGATAAGCATTCTAGGGCCCCAAGAGCTCATAATTGAATTTGCTCTTAAATTTGAAGTAATTGACGTAATTACAAAATAGAATGTTTTCCAAGTTTAACAAATTTTCTATTTAAAAGCATGCTTTCCTCAGAAGATGCATTTTCATCTTAATGTTTATTCTAAATATATGTCTTATATTTTAATTTTTCCTTATTTATCATTTCTAATTGATTATATGTTTTTCTTTGAAGAAACTTATTGACTGTTGTACTGATATTTGAGGCTATCTCCCTTAATTTTATTTTCTTCTTCTTTCTAGTGTTTACTTTTACTTTGTTGTTATTACTTCTAGTCTCATAAAATGAAAGCTTGGAGCATTCATTTACATTGGTTTTTAACAATACGTATACTTACATGGGTAAATTTTTCCTTAAATTATTGCTTTAGTGTCAATGCACCAGTTTTGAAAGTCACATTTTCGTTAACTTTCAAAACAAAACTTTTCTAATTTTTCTTGTGGACCTTTGTAGTTGACATAGGGTTATTTAAAAGTGTAATGCTTAATTACTAAACATTTGCTTTTTAAAAAAAGTTAATACCTTTGCCACTTCTATAACTATATGGGAATCTTTAAATATTTAATGCCATTCCCTACTCCCTCCTTTTGTGCTACTGTTTTCATATGTTTAACTTCTACATGTATATTGAACCTAATAGGATATCATTATAATCATCATTTAATATTTAAATTATATTTATTTATAAATGATTACATTATTTACCTTATCTGATACTCTTCATTCTTTTCTTTTTCCTGAGGCATACTTGCTATTATTTTTCCCCTTTTAGTGGAAATCTGCTGCTTCTGAACTTCCTCGGCTTAATAAAAAATTTTTAGCGTGTGCTGTTCCCCTCCATGTGTCCATATGTTTTCATCATTTAGCTCCCACGTTTAAGTGAGAACATGTGATATTTGGTTTTCTGTTCCTGTGTTAGTTTGTTGAGTATAATGGCTTCCAGCTCCATCCATGTCCCTGCAAAGGACATGATTTCCTTCCTTTTTATGGCTGCAAAGTATTCCATGTTGTATTTGTACCCTTTTGGAGGGTGGGGAATGGAAGAAGGGAGGGAATCAGAAAAAAATAGCTAATGGGTGTAGCAAACCAATATGGTACACATTTACCTATGTAACAAACCTACACATGTGCCCCTGAATTTAAAAGTTGGAAAAAAATCTTTATTTCATTTTTATTTTTGAAGAATATTTTATCTGTTGATAGTATTATGGATTGGCATTTTTTTTCTTTAAAAATTTTAAAAAATTTTATTCCATTGTCTTTGGTTTCCATAATTTCTTCAAAAATAGTGTACATCTTATAGCTTTTCCTTTTCTTTTTATGTGCCTATGCTTACCCATCTTGTTGCTATTTTAATGATAATGTATTTTCCTTATCTGGCTTCCTTTATTAACATTTTCTTTTCTTTTCAAAATTTTACTATAATGTGCCTAGTTGTGGCTTTCTGTATACTAATTTTCCTTGCATTTTGTAGAGCCTTTTATTTTTAAAAAATCCTAGAGTTCAATATCTTTTGTAAATTTTGAAAAAAAAGCCAGTATTTCTTCTAGTTTTTCTAACTTATCTTTTTTCTTTCTTCTTAAACTCTAATTACAAGTATATTAGACTTTTGCACCATGTTAACATGTCCTTGATTGTCGTTTCTGTATTTCTTACATTCTCTATTTTCCTTCAATGCTTCAAGTGCTTTCTAGTTTACTAAGTTTTCTTCTTGTTTAATAATTAATTAAATTATTAATTTCAATGATAGCATTTTCTATTTTAGAATTTTTATTTTATACCTGTATTAGTCTGTTCTTATGCTGCTAATAAAGACCTACCCGAGACTGGTAATTTATAAAGGAAAGATGTTTAATTGACTCACAGTTCCACATGGCTGGCGAGGCTTCACAATCATTGTGGAAAGTGAATGAGAAGCAAAGTCACATTTTAGGTGGTGCAGGCAAGAGCGCTTGTGCAGGGAACTCCAATTTATAAACCCATCAGATCTCCTGAGACTCATTTACTACTACTAGAACAGGATGAGGGAAACTGCCCCCATGATTTAATTATCTCCACCTGGCCCTGCCTCTGACATGTGGGGATTATTACAATTCAAGGTGAGATCTGGGTAGGGGCAGAGCCAAATCAGATCAATAACTTTAGAAAGACTCACATTTTCTCTTTAGTTCATATTTTGCTTAATTTGCTTGAACAAAATTAGCACATCTATTTTAAAAATTTCAATCTTACAATACCTAAATTCAAATCATTTTTGTGCCTCTTTTCCATAGTACATTTTTATCTCGTTTTTAATCATATGGTTTTGTTCTTTAGATGTGTTTTGAAGTTTTTTGTTGTCTTTTTGTTGTGTTTTGTTTTTTGTTTGTTTGTTTAAATGGGCTATCAGCATCACAGTTACAATTTGTAGAAATACTAGACTATGTCTTCTTTCTCCTGCAAGAGTTAGGTTTCCTTCTGTCAGGAATATAAAACAGAAGCAGAATATTTTAATCCTGTAAAAGATTAGTTTTTGTTCTTTGTTAGTATATACTGTGTTTCAGTTTTCCCTTCTATTTTGTGAGTTCTGTAGTCTCAACTGAAATCTTAGGGTATTTACCTCACCACTCCACATTGGCATTAAATTCCAACTTCTTCCCAGCAGAGTACCTTCAGAAATCTTATCTCAGCTCTTTAGTCTTTCTCCTTTTACATTTCACTGGATTATTAGAGTCATATTCTGATATTTGCCTGACGGAGATGGAGACTGCATGTGGTTTTTTAGTGGTCATTCCCATGATTTTCTCTGTTCTTCATATGCTCTCCCTTTTCCAGCCACTTTGACTAATCTGGTCTTCAGCTTTTGTTTCCTTCTGGACAGTGTAACTGCAACATTCTGCCAAGGTCTATTGATAAATAATCTCAAGAAAAATGATGTGATAAAGATGATGTGCACCTGCTTGTGATTCCATTCAGTGATCACTAACACTCCCTCAAGTGTTTCCACTGTTGGTTTCTCATAAATCCCTTTAAACAACTATTTCTACATATTATGTTGATTTCACAGCTGTTTTCCGTAAGACAGATTCTCTGTCATGGGCAAACTAAACGTTTCTGGGCATCTTCATTAGCTTGTCTGTCAGGGCCAAACTAACGATTTTGGGGAATCTTCATTAGCTAACCACTAGATATCATTAGCTAGCCATTAGATCTATAATTTCTGTTGTTTTTTAATATGCCATATTTATTTAAAGTAAGAAAAGTTCTAGCCTGATATTTTCTGTCATTCATTTGCTTTTAAGTTGTACAATGACTTTATTTTTCTTTGTAATTGTTCTTGTATTTTTTGGTTAAATTCAAGTCATTTTAAAATTCTGTCCCTTACATTTTATAAATTATTTGTTTTATTTAGCTTCCTTGTATGATGTTCAATGATATCAAGAGTTTTACCCTTCTAAAATTTTATCTAAATTTATATTTTAAAAATATAACCCTCTTATGTTCTTACATAGGACTGTGGATGTTGTGGTTATTTGAAATTTTTTCTGGGTTATAATGAATTGATTTTACTTTACTTGGTCAATCTGTGTCTTTCATATACTAAAAAACACTGCTGGCGAAATCATTTCCCTGTTTTTGTAGGGAACAGGTGTTCTCTAGAAAACTGTAGAGAACCTTTTCTGTTAATTTATTTGATTCTATGAGAACAGACAGATGAAAAACCATGGGTATCTAATTTTAAGAATATTTTCCAAACTTTCTCTATAAATTCATTTGAATTTTTGCCCCATTTATGGCCCACTAGATTGTAAATATATGATCTTCTCTATTAGAAGGTAAACTTATATATGAAATTGTACAATTTTTTCTAGGTTAATTTATTCTGTTCTTGATGGCTAAATTGATATCTAGGCTATTTGTGTATAATTTAGTGAGCATTTTCTCTCTCTTCACTTCAGAGTCTCAATACTTTCCAGATGCCTGTTTTTCTGATGCATATGCCAAATTAAAGAAAATACATTCTATATTTACACATACATATATATGCACACAAAATATATATAGGTATATATTCATCCTATAATTATATTATGTATAAATATATGCAATATATAATGTATATATTTTCTGTAAACTTATGTTTATATGTATTTGTATTTATGTGTAAATAATTTTTGTATGCATCACAGGCACTTATACATATTTCATCTTTTTTAACCTACATCAACCATTGCTATTTTTTAAAATTGGTATTCCTGATGAGTAAAATGGGTTTAGAGTTTTCTTATTCTATGTTCTTTTTGCATTCTGACTGCACGCCTGAACTCCTCCTCCAAAATGAATGAGTTTTGATCCTTTGAAATTGCCTTCATTCCTTCTTCACTACACCTCACTGTAAACACAGCAGATAAGCCTGATGTGAGCTTCTTCCATTTCCTTTTCACAATATCTTCCAAACTGTACTGCATTTAGCCCTTATCTTCTGATATTTATCAGATTCAATGGATCTTTTCCTTTCAGCACATAAAATATTTTGTTTTGATTCATTTTACTTGTGATATAAAGAATTACAGAATAATTTTAAAATATTGTCATGTATCCATAGCTTTTTAAAATCCCATAAATACTTTAAATTAAACTTCTATTTGATGTTAGGTCATATGCCATGATACATGCTAATAATGAAAGAGTAGATAAGGTGTAATAATTTTTATTGGACAATCGACAAAATTTATATTTTGTAACTAATAATTATCCTAAAAGTGGGTATTTTTTTTTTTTTTTGCTACATTTTACTTTATTTTGCTTTTAAGGAAAACCAATTGACCAAGTTTTCCCAGAACTGTTAGTGTTCACTGATCAAGAAGGAAAGGAGGTCAGAAGGCAAACTTTTCACTTCCTCTCAAACATATATTGCAAGTACCACAGAAAATTGAAACAACACATGCAGCACAGACTGATTTTCAACATACAGCGGACCCAAGCAAGAAGTGTTCAGTACTGAAGATCTACAGAGGTCAGACTGGGAGCACTACTACAGGAAGTTTGAATCTATCCACGCAGCTCTTTCCTCCCACATTCCAGGCTCATCACTCCTTCCTATTTCAAGCTGGTTTATCCAAATATACGGAAATCCAGGCTGCTCCACATATATTAATACTTGCCCAGATGTTTTTCAGGAGGCATCTCCACAAGTCAAGCCCCGACTCAAATTCTGTACAGGAAGTTCCCGCTGCTGTCAAATAACTCTCGCCCCTCTGCACTACTTTGTTGCTGGTTATCTGGCTCCCCTGCCTTTAACTCCTCCAGCTTCTGATCACTTGGCAACCCACCATGGCCAGTTCTTCTGATGCTCTCACAATCACTGGAGTACTTCTGCAGCTTTCTCTGATGACCCAGGACTGCAGCAACAGTCACAAAGCTCTCCTCCAGGTCCTGGATTCCTTTATTTCTTCCCTTCCATCCCCTTGGTGTATTTGTCCTGTAAGTGTTTGACTCTATCACTTTCAAAGTTGTGCTGTAATTCGGGGCTTTGGATGAGGCTTCATGCCCTAGCATAAGCAAAGAGCCTGATACAGAGTGGCCTGCAGGGAGCAGCTTCCAGGTATTTCCAGAGCCCTGGAGCTGCTGAAGCGAGTAGGCAAGCCCAGCTTTCTTAAGGACTTTTTGATCCGGCTTCAGCTTCTGCTCCAATGTGGGTACAAACTTGCCTTTTAAAACTCTTCCGGGAGGGGTGGCTCACGCCGGTAATCCCAGCACTTTGGGAGGCCGAGGTGGGTGGATCACCTGAGGTCAGGAGTTTGAGACCAGCCTGGCCAACATGGTGAAACCCCGTCTCTACTAAAAATACAAAAAAATTAGCCAGGTGTGGTAGCGCGGGCCTGTAATCCCAGTTACTCGGGAGGCTGAAGTAGGAGAATCGCTTGAACCTGGGAGGCGGAGGTGTCAGTGAGTGGAGATCCGCCATTGCACTCAGCCTGGGCGACAGGGCAGAACTCCATTAAAAAACAACAACAACAACAACGACCACAACAACAACTTCGGATCACATCAGTGCAGACATCAAAGCCTTCCATCAACCTGGGAACTAACCAGGACCAGGCGCCTCCATTTGCCTCCGGATTTTCTGGAATCGGATTGCTTTTTTCTGTCGTGGCAGGGTGCTGGGGGAGAGAGCCAATGGCAGAAGCCATGCACGGAAGTAGGATGGATGTTTGAAGAGCCTCAGGCTAAATCACAGAGCTCCTAGCCCACTTCTATTTGATCGCAAGGGCAACCGTGCCACGTTGCCAGCTTAGAGCTGCTCTGTACACTGAGAAAGCTAACACCTAAAACAATAACTGCCCTTAAGCATACCGAACTCTCTAAACGGGTGATGAAATAGGTCATTAGTGAAGGTGAGAGGTGACAGCGTGCTGGCAGTCTTCACAGCCCTCACTCGCTCTCAGGCACCTCCTCTGCCTGGGCTCCCACTTTGGCGGCACTTGAGGAGCCCTTCAGCCCACCGCTGCACTGTGGGAGCCCCTTTCTGGGCTGGCCAAGGCCAGAGCCGGCTCCCTCAGCTTGCAGGGAGGTGCGGAGGGAGAGGTGAGAGCAGGAGCCAGGGCTGCGCGCAGCGCTTGCTGGCCAGCTGGAGTTCCAGGTGGGCGTGGGCTTGGCGGCCCGCACTGGGAGCAGCCCGCCGGCCCTGCCAGCCCGGGCAATGAGGAGCTTAGCACCCAGGCCAGTGGCTGCGGAGAGTGTACTGGGTCCCCCAGCAGTGCCAGCCCACCAGCGCTGCGCTCCATTTCTCACCGGGCCTTAGCTGCCTTCCCGCGGGGCAGGGCTCCGGACCTGCAGCCCACCATGCCTGAGCCTCCCACCTCCTCCATGGGCTCCTGTGGCGCCAGAGCCTCCCCGACGAGCACCACCCCCTGCTCCAGGGTGCCCAGTCCCACCGACCACCAAAGGGCTGAGGAGTGTGGGCGCCCGGCACGGGACTGGCAGGCAGCTACACCTGCAGCCCCAGTGCGGGATCCACTGGGTGAAGCCAGCTGGGCTCCTGAGTCTGGTGCGGCTGTGGAGAACCTTTATGTCTAGCTCAGGGATTGTAAATACACCAGTGGGCACTCCGTATCTAGCTCAAGGTTTATAAACACACCAATCAGCACCCTGTGTCTAGCTCAGGGTTTGTGAATGCACCAATGGACACTCTGTATCTAGCTACTCTGGTGGGGCCTTGGAGAACCTTTGTGTGGATACTCTGTATCTAACTAATCTGGTGGGGACGTGGAGAACCTTTGTGTCTAGCTCAGGGATTGTAAAGGCACCAATCAGCGCCCTGTCAAAACAGACCACCTGGCTCTACCAATCAGCAGGACGTGGGTGGGGGGGCGGGGGGAGCAGATAAGAAAATAAAAGTAGGCTGCCCAAGCCAGCAGTGGCAACCCGCTCGGGTCCCCTTCCACAGTGTGGGAGGTTTGTTCTTTCCCTCTTTGCAATAAATCTTGCTGCTGCTCACTCTTTGGGTCCACACTGCCTTTATGAGCTGTAACACTCACTGCGAAGCTCTGCAGCTTCACTCCTGAAGCCAGCGAGCCCACGAGCCCACCGGGAAGAATGAACAACTCCAGACGTGCTGTCTTAAGAGCTGTAACACTCACCGCAAAGGTCTGCAGCTTCACTCCTGAGCCAGCGAGACCACGAACCCACCAGAAGGAAGAAACTCCGAACACATCAGAACATCAGAAGGAACAAACTCCAGACGCCCCACCTTAAGAGCTGTAACACTCACCGGGAGGGTCCGCCGCTTTATTCTTGAAGTCAGTGAGACGAAGAACCCACCAATTCCGGACACACAGGGACCAGTGGTCCCAGGGGAGCCAAACACCTGACGCTGCGCCCCTGACAACACCGCTAAGAAGGAATAAGGGCCGCTGCCAAGCAGGACGCCTGGCGCCAACGCGGCGGCCTGGGGCGGTGGCGGGAGAGAGGCCTTGCTTCAAGCTGAGGGCCCAGGGAAAAGCCGGTACCTTTCCACCTCCTGCAGCTCGCCTTCCTCTGGCTCCCGGCCAGTAAGGCCTGGGCCCGCCACCCAGTGGGTCTCGAAGGTACAGCGAGTGATGGCAGCGCTAACGCGCCTGCTATCTAGAGACTCAGGGTAACCAACATGTCGACTCAAACCATCCTTCAGCAGCCAAATTGGGTCTATTCTTTGACAGAAGGATTTTAAAAGATATTACAGAATTAATAATTTGTCCCTTTACATGCTATCTCTTTAAATTGCCCGTAAATGTTCAAGATTATTCACCAATTATTATCCAGGGAAGCTTTGCCAAATCAAATTCAGAAACATGAACATGTTTCTGGTTTTATCCTCACTTTCTGATTTATCTGAGAAAAGAAGGATTTTTTTTCTGTTTTATGGTTAAATTTGTTGCTCACTGTTTTTTATTTGTACTCTTTTCATAATCAAGTTTGCTCTCTTTTAAAGTTAGTCTTGTCATATTTAAATTATAATATTCACAGGAAAAAAAAAACCATTAAAAAACCAAGGACTTGAACAGACACTTCTCAAAAGAAGATGTTCATGCAGCCAACATCTAACATATAAAAAAATCTCAATATTACTGATCATTAGAGAAATGCAAATCAAAACCACAAAGAGATATTATCACATGCTAGTCAGAACGGCCATTATTAAAATGTCAAGAAACTATAGATGCTGGCAAGGTTGTGGAGAAAAAGGAACACTTTTACACTGTTGGTGGGAATGTAAATTAGTTCAACCATTGTGGAAGACAGTGTGGTGATTCCTCAAAGATCTAGAAGCAGAAACATCATTTGACTCAGTTATCCCGTTACTGGGGATATACCCAAAGAAATATAAATCATTTTGTTATAAAGATACATCTACATGTATGTTCATTGCAGCACTATTCACAATAGCAAAGACATGGAACCAGCGCAAATACCCATCAGTGATAAACTGGATAAAGAAAACGTGCTACATATACGATGGCATACTATGCAGCCATAAAAAGGAATGAGATCATGTCTTTTGCAGGAACATGGATGGAGGTGGAAGCTGTTATTCTCAGCAAACTAATGCAGGAACAGAAAATCAAACACCACATGTGCTCACTTATAAGTGGGAGCTGAACGATAAGAACACGTGGACACATCCAGGGGAACAACACACAGTGGGGCCTGTTGGGAGGGGTTTGGGGAAGGAGAGCATCTAGAAGAATAGCTAATGGATGCAGGGCCTAATAGCTTGGTGATGCGTTAATCTGTGCAGCAAACTACCATGCCACACATTTACCTATATAACAAACCTGCACATCCTGCACATGTATACCAGAACTTAAAATAAAAGTTGAAGAAACAAAATAAAAATAAATAATATTATAATTAATTAGAAATTAGCCAATAAATGTGAGTAGAATAGAAAACAAAGCTATAGATCCTTTTTTGTTAAGAAAATTTTATTTCTAACAGCTATTCAAATATTATAGTTGTTATGATGAATATAGATTAAAAACTTTGGAAACTAAAAATATGGGTTTGAGATAATTTTTATAAAATATAAAATCTCCATCTTTGGTTTTGTATAGTTCTGTGTTATTTTCAAATTTAAGGAGCTATAATGCAGCTGAAAACAGGAAACGTGTGTTATATGTTTTTAACTAAAATATGAAGGAGAAATAAAATGGTTAATCTATCTCATTTTGACCCTTTATTTTAGCTAGCACTTTTGCATTTAAACATAGGAATTAAGGTTTTGAAATTCCAGGGGTTTTCTGCCAAAAGAGAAGTCAGTCTACAAACTATTGTGATGCTAGATGCCAACAAATCCATTTATTTAGTTAGCAAACATCGCAATTCTAGTGTGAACTTGGGCCATGTTTGAGACTTTAATTAAATGGAAATGTGTTGTCTTAGCTGAGAGAAAGAAAACAACTGGTTATTACATTTTCTAAGCTAGAAATGCAGTGTTTATTGGGTGGAATTTTACACACACACACACACACACACACACAACCTTAAATACAAGCAATCGAGTTTAACTCTATTGAATAAATATGGAAATCGATATTACCTGATTTATAAAACCTGGGAAGTAAAGCTAATCATTTTTGATCATCAGGATGTAAACGTTTTTGAGACAATTCTCTGCTAAGTAGATGCTTTCTTGATTTGCAGTTTACTTTAACAAGAATACTATATTTGAGATCTGAAAAACCAAAAACAAAAACATGAATTTCTTGTAAACTCATTTTATACTTAGGATTTAAGAGTTAAATCATGGTGGATCAGACCTGTAATCCCAGCAGTTTGGGAGGCCGTGTCAGGCAGATCACCTGAGGTCAGGAGTTCAAGATCAGCCTGGCCAACATGGTAAAACCCCTTCTCTATTAAAATTCAAAAATTAGCCAAGAATCTTGGCAAGTGCTTGTAATCCCAGCTACTAGGGAGGCTGAGGCAGGAGAATCACTCGCACCCGGGGAGGTGGATGTTGCGGTGAGCCAAGATTGTGCCGTTGCACTCCAGCCTGGGCAATACAGCGAGACTGTCTCAGGAAAAAAAAAAAAAAAAAGAGTTAAATTCTAGATTATTTTAATACCATTTAGTAAGTTTAAAAGTTGTGATAGATTAAATAGCAAACCTGTATCTGAAAACTTCCAATAAAGATTATTCACTGACAGATTTTGCATAATGCTTTGCTATATTTACATACACTTAAAACTGTTCCTGCTAAGATTCTCTCACCTAACTAGACTGCTGAAATAACAACTGATGGCTATAAGCACAACCCATAATTAATTTCCCTTAAACAAACAAACTATTGTGGGGATCTTTATGTGGTTTATTTAATTTGCTAACTGAATAAATTGGTTTGCTGCCATATGATGGTTGCAGTTTTCTTTTCCTTATTCTACTTAAATATCATTCTACTGTTTATTATCATATCCATACAGTATGGTTCAACCTTAAGAAAGTACTTAAAGTCGCTTGCTATTTTCCCAGTGCTTTCGATGTGAATAATATTAAAAATGAGATGTAGTGCTTTATAGTTAATTATACTTTCATTGTAATTTGAATAAAATAGGCATTCTTGTAAAAATAGGACCATGACATTATAAATATGAGTGTCTTGTGTGTTATTCCTGAACTTACAGTACAAATAATCATATAATATTAGGAAAGGAAAGGCTTATTGTAAGTTAATGAAATAAGAGAGAATTTGAAAAATATTTGTCTAATTTTTACTTTGTTTAGGGTCATCCTAAAGGAAAGGAAAATGTTTAGATATGGAGAGATGATTGAAGTTCCAGGTCTAATTATCTTGTTTCTGAGGATTTACAGGAATATGGCCAAATTTATCATTGACTTTGTAGAAGAGTTCTGAGCAGAAATTTGACATAGGACAACTGAAGCAATGAGAGAGGTGAAGCATAAATATCCCCAAACAACCTATTTTCCATATTGAAATATATTTCTTCTAAGATTGGAAAGCTTTAATGAAGTCAGAGATGACTGCGAAGTGGCTTACCTGACAGATGAAGCAATAAGCCCATTCCCTCTCTGCAGTTAAAGGCTTGAAATTACCCATCTGTCATTTCTCTAGTGGGTGGGGATTATAATGGAAGGCAGCATGCCATCTTAATTACATAACTATCCCAATTCCAATTACATATCATGTAGGGTATAAAATGCATTATCTTTCTACAATAAACTGAACACATAACAATGGCTGTATTCCATTTTATCTTTGACATTTCTATTTTTCCATTACTATTTTTTTAATTTAATGTAATATTGTAGCACATTTTACTTTGATGTTACTGCTCCCTATTTTTTGATATCATTATCAAAAATGCAGTGATTATTTGTGGACAGTTAATGTGCATGTGAACACATATCAGTATACCACATATGAGATTTTATGAATAAAAGGAAAATAAATATGATTTAAATTTAGACTTCTTTTGTCTTCATTGTTTTTCTTATAAAGGGCCCTTTCACTTTCTGTAAGAGTTCTCAAGATATGGGATCCCAGAGGATTCCTCAGGTTGTATAGACTTACTCGTGACTTTGAGCAAAAGATCCTTGTGATTTAATTCAATATTATTCCTTTATACAGCTGCATGAATGCTAGAAGTCCAAACTCGATACTTTTTTACTTTCATTTGACTCGTTCAGTGATAACCTTGAGCTGTTACCCTCACAACT